>NC_000017.11:7763838-7915353 GCF_000001405.40 Homo sapiens
AAGTTGCTAATAACGTGCAGAAGGAGGAGACAGTCACCAACATCCAGTTTGTGCTGCTGGACTGTTCGCACCTCAAGTTCTCCCTGGTGCAGCACTGCAATGAATGGCAGAACAAGTTCGCGACTCTGCTCAGGGAGATGGCTGCTGGGCGCCTCCTGGAGCTGCACACCTACCTGAAGGAGAACGCAGAGAAGTGCGGGCTGGGGCGCCCCACAGGAAGGGGGCAGGGGCAGGCACTGGGCCTTCCACTCACTAGCACTCCCTTTGCCCGCCTTCAGAATCAGCCGCCCTCCGCAGACACTGGAGGAACTGGGGGTCAGCTTGCAGCTCGTGGATGCCCTGAAGCACGACTTGGCCAACGTGGAGACTCAGATCCCTCCCATACACGAGCAATTTGCCATTCTTGAAAAGTACGAGGTGCCAGTCGAGGACAGTGTGAGTTCCTTTGGTGTTTGGTTTACCTGGGACCCGTATCAGCAGCAGATTGCGGGGGAGGCCCTTGGCTGTCCTCGGGGAGAGTAGAGAAGTGACAGCAGGAGGAGACTCTAGATTTGAAAGCCAAAGCTAGCTCAAATGATACCTTTACTTAGCTTCTGGATTTCTTTTCTTTTCCTCTTCTTCTTCCTCTTTTTTTTTTTTTTAAACAGAGTCTGGCTCTGTCACCCAGGCTGGAGTGCAGTGGCACGATCTTGGCCTACTGCAACCTCTGCCTCCCAGGCTCAAGTGATTCTCCTACTTCAGCCTCCCAAGTAGCTGGGAACACAGGCACACGCCACCACGCCTTGCTGATTTTTGTATTTTTTGTAGGGATGGGGGTCTCATTTTGTTGCCCAGGCTGGTCTTAAACTCCTGAACTCAAGCAATCTGCTGACCTCGGCCTCCCAAAGTGCTGGGATTACAGGTGTGAGCCACCGCACCCAGCTGGATTTACTTACTGTATTTACTTTTTTTTTTTTTTTTTTTTTTGGTTTTGGCCTCATTCTCAGATATACAGCTTTTGGATTTTTTTTTTTTTTTTTTTTGAGACAGGGCCTCCATCCATTACCCAGGCTGGAGTGCAGTGGTGCAATCATGGCTCACTGCAGCCTCAACTTCCTGGGCTCAAGCGATCCTCCCACCTCAGCCTCCTGAGTAGCTGGGACTACAGGCACCTCAAGTGATCCTCCCACCTTGGCCTCCCAAAGTGCTGGGATCACAGGCGTGAGCCACCACACCCGGCCAGGGTTTCTTTTAGGCCTGGCAAACTCACACCTTGATTTTTTTAGCCCTTGTCACATGTGCAAAACTCGTCCCCAGACTCTGGTCTGGAGGATCAGAAAAGAGTCCTTAAAAACTTTCATGAGAGGGCAGACCTCCTGCTCCTGGTCATCCTCCACGCATGAGAGGGCAGACCTCCTGCTCCTGGTCATCCTCCACTCATGAGAGGGCAGACCTCCTGCTCCTGGTCATCCTCCACTCATGAGAGGGCAGACCTCCTGCTCCTGGTCATCCTCCACGCATGAGAGGGCAGACCTCCTGCTCCTGGTCATCCTCCACTCTCTGACTCCCCCAGGTCCTGGAGATGCTGGACAGTCTCAACGGGGAGTGGGTTGTCTTCCAACAAACTCTGCTGGACAGTAAGCAAATGCTGAAGAAACACAAGGAGAAATTCAAGACAGGCCTGATCCACTCGGCAGATGACTTCAAGAAGAAAGCACATACACTTCTGGAAGATTTCGAATTCAAAGGTACTCCTTGATCCACCTCTCCCGCTTCTTTAGCCTTTGTTTAGAGACCCCGCCTTCCAAGCCCAGGTCCTGGGAAGGCGAGAACTGGGAGGGGAGGAGGAGGGTCGGTGCTGGGGTGGGGGAAGAGCCTCCACTCAGGAGCAAAGGAGGAGGACACTCAGTGGCTCTCGTTTTGGGTAGACAGCGGCGCAGCTCACAGCATTTCTACTTTTCTTTTTTCTTTTTTTTTTTGAGATGGAATCTCGCTCTGTCACCAGGCTGGAGTGCAGTGGCTCGATCTCAGCTCACTGCAACCTCCGCCTCCCAGGTTCAAACGATTCTCCTGCCTCAGCCTCCCCGAGTAGCTGGGACTACAGGCACATGCCACCACACCCGGCTAATTTTTGTATTTTTAGTACAGACAGGGTTTTACCATGTTGGCGAGGATGGTCTTGATCTCTTGACCTTGTGATCTGCCTGCCTCGGCCTCCCAAAGTACTGGAATTACAGGTGTGAGCCACCGCGCCCGGCCCGCATTTCTACTTTTCTTATCCCGACTTCCATATTCCATCTGTTCCTGACTCTCAAGCCACATTTAGGAGTTTTTGCTAAGATTAACCGTTATTCTTTCAACGCGTTCCCTCTTACTCTCCTTCCCTTCCCTCTCTCACGTGAGGAGAGAGGTGAGATTTGCCCACAAAGAGATAGGAGAGCCATGGCTGTCCTTGCCAGACGTGAGCGGGAAGCTGAGCTTCATCCTGAATCCTCCACAGGCCATTTCACCAGCAACGTGGGATACATGTCTGCCTTAGACCAGATTACACAAGTGCGGGCCATGCTGATGGCCATGCGGGAAGAGGAAAATAGTCTCCGAGCCAACCTGGGCATCTTCAAGATCGAGCAGCCACCCTCCAAGGACCTTCAGAACCTGGAGAAGGTGGTGTGCTGAGCAAGGACCCTGTGGTCACTGTCGATAAGGGGCAGGGACAGGAGAATGGGTCCTTAGCGCCCACAAAGGCAGTGGGAAGGGAGAGGAGCTCACAAGGAGCTTTTGTTTGTTTCAGTTGAGGTAAAATTCATACAACAAAATTAATCCTTTTTTTTTTTTTTTTTTTTTTTTTGAGATAGAGTCTTGCTCTCTCACCCAGGCTGGAGTGCAGTGGCACAATCTCGGCTCACTATAACCTCTGCCTCCCGGGTTCAAGCGATTCTCATGCCTCACACTCCCGAGTAGCTGGGATTACAAGCATCCACCACTATGCATGGCTAATTTTTATATTTTTAGTATAGAGATGGGGTTTCACCATATTGTCCAGACTGGTCTCGAACTCCTGACCTCAGGTGATCCACCTGGCTCGACCTCCCAAAGTGCTAGGATTACAGGTGTGAGCCACCACGCCCTGCCAAAATTAACCATTTTGAAGTAAACAATTCGTGACGTTTAGTAATTCATACCACATCTATCTAATTCCCAAACATTTTTATTACCCTAAAGGAAACTCTGCCCATTAGCAGTCACGTGCATCCCCCGTCCCCCGCCCCAGTCCCCCGTCCCCCGCCCCAGTCTGTTATGAGCCTGTTTTCCATGTGTATGATTCCCCTATTCTGGACACTTCATACAAATGGAACCATTTGTATGATAATACGTGGCCTTTTTAATCTGGCTTCTTTCGCTTAGCATAATGTCTTCAAGGTTCATCCATGGTGTGGCATGGATCAGTACTTTTTTAAATGGCTGAATATTCATATTTGAATATCGCATGAGTTTACCACATTTTGTTTACCATTCACCAGTTGATGGACATTTGGGTTGTTTCCACCTTTTAGCTAAAGGGAGTAGTGCTGCCATGAACACGCGTGTACTTGTATTTGTCTGAACACCTGTTCCCTATTCTTGTGAGTGTAAGCCTAGGGGTGGAATTGCTAGATCATATGGAAACTCTATGTTTAACTTTTTGAGGAGCTGCCAAGCCATTTTCCACAGCAGCTGCACCGTTTCACATTCCCACTAGCAGTGTACAAGTCTCCCTATTTCTCCATATCTCCGTGCCAACACTTATTTACCTTTTTTTTTTTTTTTTTGGTTCTAGCCATCCTAGCGGGTGTGAAGTGGCATCCCACTGAGGTTTTGATTTGCATTTCCCTAATGACTCATGACATTGAGGATTTTTTCATGTGCTTGTTCCTTGATAAGCTCTTAAGGCAACAGAGTGGAGAAAAATATGTGGACTGAGGAGGCCGCTGTATTATCTAGAGGGGAAGCTTCACAGAGCGAGAGCAGCGAAGGGCCTGGGCGTCCGTCAGGGAGGAAGAGGGCAGGTGCCACTTCATGCAACGCGCCTTTCTGCCCTGTAGGAGCTCGATGCCCTCCAGCAAATCTGGGAGATCGCACGAGACTGGGAGGAGAACTGGAATGAGTGGAAGACTGGCCGGTTCCTGATCCTGCAGACGGAAACCATGGAGACCACGGCCCACGGGCTGTTTCGTCGCCTCACAAAATTAGCCAAAGAGTATAAGGTGGGGAGAAACGGCGGGGAGGCGGAAGAGAAGCTGGTGGAGGATCTGGGTCTGTTCCCAGGGAGGTCGTCGGGTCTTCTCATGCCCCCAACTTTTGCTCAGGACCGAAACTGGGAAATTATTGAAACCACTCGCTCAAAAATAGAGCAGTTCAAGAGGACCATGCCTCTCATCTCAGACCTGCGGAACCCTGCCCTTAGAGAGAGGTGAGGCTTCTCCTCTGCTCCGGGGTGTCCACTCTGCCCCGCTGGCCTGCGCCACCACTTGGTCCCTCCCATTCTCCTCTCCGCAGTGTTCACAGCCCTCTCTTCCCCTCTGTCCACAAATGTATGTCTTTTTCTCTTTCCTCTTTTTAACATTTAATTTTGATGGACGCATGAAAATTGCATACACTTTGGTGTACAGCATAATGTTTTGAAATATGTACACATTGTAGAATGGCTAAATTGAGCTAATTATCATATGCATTACCTCACATACCTATTTTTTGTAGTGAGAGTACTGAAAAGCTACTCTCAGTGATTTTCAAGTATACAATAGATTGTTATTAACCATTGTTGCCGTGATGTACAGGAGATCATCCCTCTTGTCTAACTGAAATTTTGTGTCCTTTGACCAACACCTCCCGAACTTTCCACCTACCACCCCCAGCCCCTGGTAACCAGCACTCGACTCTGCTTCTGTGAGTTCAACCTGTTCAGACTTTACATATGACATATGAGTGCGATCATGCGGTGTTTGTCTTTCTTCGCCTGGCTTATTTCGCTTAGCATAATGTCCTCCAGGTTCTTCCATGTTGTTGCAAATGACAGGATTTTCTTCTTTCCTGAGGCTGAAGAGTATTTCTTTGTATATATACACCACATTTTCATCCTCCATTCATCGCTTGATGGACACTTAGGGTGATTCCACATCTTAGCTATTGCAAATAGTGCTCAGCGAACATGTGGCGCAGACACCAAGCCTGCCACTGTCCTCTGCTTCTTGCACTGTCTCGGGTCATCCAGCCTTGCTGGCTTCTTGTTCTCTGACCCCTGCCCTGGGGCCTCCCTCTCTCTGAAAGGGAGTTGTCTATCATGACTAAGTCTTATGTCTTTTTTTTTCCTTTTTTTGTGGGGGAGACAAAGTCTCACTCTGTTGCCCTGGCTGGGGTGCAGTGCTGTGATCTCGGCTCACTGTAACCTTCACCTCGCGGGTTCAAGCAATTCTTGTGCCTCAGCCTCCCAAGTAGCTGGGATTACAGGCACCTGCCACCATGCTCTGCTAATTTTTGTATTTTTAGTAGAGATGGGGTTTTGCCATGTTGCCCAAGATGGTCTTGAACTCCTGGCCTCAAGTGATCCGCTCGCCTTGGCCTCCCAAAGTGCTGGGATTACAGGCATGAGCCACCGTGCCCGTCCCGCCTTATGTCTTTTGTTATACAAAAGATTTTATTTTGAGGTAGCCAGAAGTATAACTTTCTTTCTGTATGGTTTTTGCCTTTGTGCCTTGTTTAGGAAGACCTTTCCTATCCCAAAGTTACAAATACATCCTCTTCATTCTTTCCTCTAATGCTTTGTGTTTCTCAGGTTTAACTCTTTTAATTCATCTGGAATTTATTATATGGCAGAGGATGTATCTCAAACCATTGGGGATAGATTTATAAAAATAAAGTAATTTTTATAAATGGTGTTTCAATCATGATCTATCCATTTAAGAGAAAATAATTTTACTTCTTTGTCTTTCTTCCAGTATAACGTTTTTGGCAATGCCAAACCATTAAGTGTTATACGGTTATGTATAACCTAACCACTTTATTTGCTTACATTATTTAACCTCTCTAAGCCTCAGTTTTCTCATCTGTAAATGGAATAATAATAATTCCTAATTTATAGAGTAGCCGTGAGAATGATATGAGATGTTTCATGTAAGGCCTTTACTCAGTACAGTTCTAGAGTAAACCTGCGGTGATTCATTGTGTGTTTTGTGGGCACACCTGCCTTAACTTCCTCTCCAGAGAATCCACTCCTGGAGGGTTTCACCTCAATCTTCGTATTCCCCTGGTGCCTAAGATTGCATCTTCGAGCCTGTTTAGCAAAATGAGTTGAATCATGAATTGGTAACTATGCAGAATCATAGTGTCCCAGTGGGAGACAGCAATGGAGTGATGGTAACTCTCCTGACCTCACACCCTCCTGTTCCTGGCTGCAGGCACTGGGACCAGGTCCGGGATGAGATCCAGCGGGAGTTTGATCAGGAATCTGAAAGCTTCACCTTGGAGCAGATTGTGGAGCTTGGGATGGATCAGCATGTGGAGAAAATTGGGGAGATCTCTGCTTCAGCAACTAAAGAGCTGGCTATAGAAGTGGTACGACAGTCCCCTCCCATGCTCCCACACCTCCTGCGCCTCCTGGAGCACAGGCTCCAGCTGTTCATCATCTGATGGCGCCTCTCAGCTCCTGTTCCCCTTAGTGAAGAGATACCTGACTGCTGTGTCCCCCAATTTCTCTCCACAGGCTTTACAAAACATTGCCAAGACCTGGGATGTGACTCAGCTCGACATAGTACCCTACAAGGATAAGGGCCATCATCGGCTCAGGTCAGGGGAGCTGGGGCTCTAGGAGAATGGAGGGCTGTGTGACCCAGGCTGCAGAGTGGGACCAAGGTTGGGCAGGTGGGGATGAACTATGATTTTGACCCCTTGTGTCTCAGAGGTACAGAAGAAGTATTCCAGGCACTGGAAGATAACCAGGTAGCTCTGTCTACCATGAAGGCATCACGCTTTGTCAAGGCCTTTGAGAAGGATGTGGACCACTGGGAACGCTGCCTCTCCCTCATTTTGGAGGTTATTGAGATGATTCTCACAGTGCAGCGTCAGTGGATGTACTTAGAGGTCAGGACTCAGCGCCTGAGCTCTTCCTGCTTCCTGCTCTTACTCCTTCTTTTTCTTAAGACCTAGATTTTGCCCTGTTATCAGCCTCATTCTCCTACCTTTAAAGTCACTCTTCATCTAGGACCCAGCTGTCTGATTCTTAGTTATTACCTCTCACCTTAGATTCCCTCCGTAACAAGTTTTTGTTCTTCTCAGATTTTTCTTCCATTTTTCTTCTTAGACCCAGGTAGCTGGCCCCCTACCTCCAGCTTTCCTTGTAGAACTTGGGCATCTTGGCCTTTGACTTCTAGCACTCTGTATCTTCTACCCAACTGTCACCCACAATCTGGGAACAGGGAGCAGAGGGTGGAGAGTGTGTAAGAAGTGGCCTCTCACCCCAACTTTTGGCCCCCTCAGAATATCTTCCTAGGAGAAGACATCCGCAAGCAGCTGCCCAATGAATCGACCTTATTTGACCAGGTCAACAGCAACTGGAAAGCCATCATGGACAGGATGAACAAGGACAACAATGCTCTCCGGAGCACCCATCACCCAGGTCAGAGCTCCAGGGCTCCTGCCCTGACACAGCCTCGGCAGGCACTCTGCTTGGTCATGGTTGCGTGCTTCATTTATTAAAAAGACTGATGCCCCCAGCTCTCCTAACATTTCCCATCTCCATCACCTCTTCTAAGCATTAGATCATAATTCTGTAAATTAAACTCAACAAATATTTGAGTGGAGTATAATAATGTAGTGGTTAAGAGCATGGGATATGGAATCAGTCAGATGAGTTTATTTATTTATTAAAAAAAATTTTTTTTTTGAGACAGAGTTTTGCACATTGCCCAGGCTGGAGTGCAGTGGTGCGATCTCGGCTCACTGCAATCTCTGCCTCCCGGGTTCAAATGATTCTCCTGCTTCAGCCTCCCAAGTAGCTGGGAATACAAGCGTGTGCCACTACCTCTGGCTAATTTTTTTATTTTTAGTAGAGATGGCGTTTCACCAAGTTGGCCAGGCTGCCTTGAACTCTTGACCTCAGGTGATTCACCTCCCTCAGCCTCCCAAAGTTCTGGGATTACAGGTGTGGGACACTGAGCCCAGCCTACGTTGACTTTCTTTTAGCAGATTAACTAGCCTTCAGCCATGGGATGGGGTAGGGTATGGGGAAGAAAGGGATGAACACACGGCAAGATGAACACATAGTGAGGCCTGGTCGACTGGGGGAGACTGGGGTAGACAATCAGGGAGTCAGGTTTGACAGCGGGCACCTAGAATGGGCATCCTGTGCAGAAGAATTCTGGTGGGGGTGCAGAGGACCTCTTTATTTTACCTAGGGCTAGTCTTAACAGTGCTTCATTTTCCCAAGAGCCTTCAGTATACACATCAATAAAAATAATTTTAATTATTCTGATAAAAGATAAACATGAAAAGTTATGGTATGCAAAGTTGAATGACAACAACTGATACTATTTGAAATAATTGACAGAATTATATTCCGTAACAATTTATAAGCAAAGCCAAAAAAACAATGATCCCTTTGTTGAATGCACAGAACAAATCCATCTTGTCCACGGCTACTGAGCATGCCTGTGATCTCCAGGGGTCACTCAGGTTTGACTCAAAGGATCCAACAGCCTGTAGACCCTGTGCTTGAAGGCATGAGGGTCACCTCTGAGTTCACACTCACTAGTGTCCCTCCTTTCTTCAGAAAGCTAGGAACTGGGAAGACAAGGGGAAAATCAATCAAGGCCTGAGGTATGGGGCTGTAGGCTGGGAGGAAACTAACATTATTGAGAAGCTACTGATGTGAATACATTTCAATTACTACTCACATTGGTTTTTTGTTTGTTTGTTTGTTTGTTTGTTTGTTTGTTTTTTAAGACGGAGTTTTGCTCTCGTTGCCCAGGCTGGAGTGCAATGGAATGATCTAAGGTCACCACAACCTCCACCTCCCGGTTCAAGCAATTCTCCTGCCTCAGCCTCCCAAGTAGCTGGGACTACAGGCGTGTGCCACCACACCCAGCTAAGTTTGTATTTTTTTAGTAGAGACGGTGTTTCACCATGTTGGTCAGGCTGGTCTCGAACTCCTGACCTCAAGTGATCCACCCACCTCGGCCTCCCAAAGTGCTGGGATTATAGGCATGAGCCACCACACCCAGCCTCACGTTGGTTTTTGAGATGGATTTTATTGCCATTTTGTACACAAAAAGGTCAAAACTCAGTGAGGTGAATTGACATGACAGTAAGTGAAAGAACTACTATCTGATTGGGGGTCTTCTGCCGCCTGCTCTGGGACTCTTTCTGCTATGACATGAAGGACATTGGCAACCCCAGTCCTTGCAGATTTCTTTCACTGTGTGCACATGCCATGTATCTAAATAAAATTATTTAGCTTGCTAGATTGTGTAAGTGGAGGGTAATCTCTACTTTTCAGAAGCTCTTGGGTTGGCCAGTGGATCCCCAAGTTCTTCCTCCAGCCCTTCTTTTCTTTTTTGCCTATGGGAAATCTAGGAAGACGGACCCCCAAGTTCTTAGGTGGGTGTGTTATACAGTGTCCCCCCCACCCACTGGGGATATGTTCCAAGACCCCCCAGTAGATGCCTGACACCTCAGATAGTAGTGAACCCAATTGCCATCAATCAGAACATGTTTCTGTTCGTGTCTCCCTCCCATAAATTCAATGCTCTTTCCATCTTAACTAAGCACTTATTACGCACTGAGGCTGTAACTTTTGCAGTTTGAGGTGTGACAGCAAAACTATCATGAATTTCTTTTTCCTTCGTCGCAGTTTCACAGATAGAAGATTCATATTCTGTTTTTCTTCTTTTTTTTTTTGAGACGGAGTCTCGCTCTGTCGCCCAGGCTGGAGTGCGGTGGCACAATCTCGGCTCACTGCAACTTCTGCCTTCTGGGTTTAAGCAATTCTCCTGCCTCAGCCTCCCGAGTAGCTTGGATTACAGGCACCCGCCACCACGCCTGGCTAATTTTTGTATTTTTAGTAGAGATGGGATTTTACCATGGTGGCCAGGCTGGTCTTGAACTCCTGACCTCAAGTGATCCACCCACCTCAGCCTCCCAAAGTATTGGGATTACAGGCATGAGCCACTGTGCCAGGCCAGAAGATTCATTCTTACTGTAGATCTCAGCAAACTCAGTTGAGAACTTTCACCTTTTCACTTAAAGGAAGGAAGCTGTTTATGGAAGCACTTTACGGCTTCTCTTTGGTGTATCTGAATTGGCAGCATCACTACTCTTGCACTTTTGCTTACATTATTAAGTGACATTAGGGTCACTTGAACACAGGCACTGCTGTGATGTCGCAACAGTCGATCTGATAACCGAGAGGGCTACTAAGTGACTCACGGGCAGGGAACCTCCGCAGCATGGAGACGCTGGACAGAGGGATAATTCACATCCTGGGGGACAGAGCAGGATGGTGAGAGATTGCATCACACTACTCAGAACAGTGTGCAATTAAAACCTAGGGATTATTTCTGGAATTTTCCATTCAGTATTTTCGGACCACAGTTGTCTGCAGGTAGTTGCAACCATGGGACGTGAAACTGTGGATAAGGGGGAATTACTGTATTAATGAAATCATATATGATGTATCAATGCATAAACGGTAACATGTACAATAGTGCATAATGAATACTGTAATGAATTAACAGAGAGAATGGGTTGAGCATGTTAGACAGTCTGGGGATACTTCTCTGCGTCCAGAAACCCTCATGGCAGTCTGTGCCCCACTGTTCAAGAGCTGGCAAAGAACACAGAGTTGGGGCATCCAGATCCGCCCAGGGCAGTGGAAATGAATCAAATGTCATTCATCGCTCTTCTTCCCAGGCCTCCTGGACACATTGATAGAAATGAATACAATCCTGGAAGATATTCAGAAATCTCTGGATATGTATTTAGAGACCAAGCGACATATTTTCCCCCGCTTCTACTTCTTGTCCAATGATGACCTGCTGGAGATTCTGGGCCAGTCCCGAAACCCAGAGGCTGTGCAGCCACACCTCAAAAAATGCTTTGACAACATCAAGTTGCTGAGAATCCAGAAGGTCAGTAGAAGTGGCCACAGTGAGATGCTGGGTGGCGAAGGGAGGGTGTTGGGGTATGAAAAGCTTTGGAGGGGACCCTGCCCTCCCAAAAGGAGGGCCATGTTAATTAATGATTCTCAATTCTCAGGGGGATAGAACTTCTTAGAATTGGTAATATTGAGAGGAGGGGAGAGGAGCAGTAATTATCCTCAAAAGGCCCCAGGACTTCTAGGCGGACACCAAGGGTGGGCAGGCCAGGCTCTGAGTAGCTTCTGCTTTCTGCAGGTTGGAGGGCCCAGCAGCAAATGGGAAGCTGTGGGGATGTTCTCGGGCGACGGCGAGTACATTGACTTCCTCCACTCAGTATTTTTAGAAGGCCCTGTGGAGGTGAGTTGTGGTGAGGGTCTGAGGACCTAGCTGATTCTTCTTCCTACAGAAAGTTCACCTGGGTCGGGCGCAGTGGCTCACACTTGTAATCCCAGCACTTTGGGAGGCTGAGGTGGGCAGATCACCTGAGGTCGGGAGTTTGAGACCAGCCTGACCAACATGGAGAAACCCCGTTTCTGCTAAAAATACAAAATTAGGTGGGCGCGGTGGCGCATGCTGGTAATCCCAGCTACTCGGGAGGCTGAGGCAGGAGAATCACTTGAACCTGGGAGGCGGAGGTTGTGGTGAGCTGAGATTGCGCCATTGTACTCCAGCCTGGGGAACAAGAGTGAAACTCCGTCTCAAAACCAAAAAAAAAAAAAGAAAAAAAAAAAAAAAGAAAGTTCAACTGGCTCCATGAGGAGAGAAGACCTCTTTAAATGGCCGTTAGTCACTCTTTCCCATCTCACCTGCCATTCCTGACAATGACCATCTCTGCTCTGAACCGAAATTTCCTTCTGAAAGTCAGATCATCTGCCTCCTAGCCTCCATTTCTCTCAGGAACGCAAGCCAGCTGTTGGCCATTCCCGCTTTTCTCTGGGTACAAAGCCCTGAAGTGCTGCTCCATAAGTGCCTTCCCTGTGGAGGACCTTGGCCGTGCCCCCTCAGGCTGAGCTGCCCTATTCTCCCACCTCCCCCCAGTCCTGGCTTGGCGATGTGGAACAGACCATGAGGGTGACCCTGCGGGACCTTCTCCGGAACTGCCACCTGGCCCTCAGGAAGTTCCTCAACAAGAGGGACAAATGGGTGAAGGAGTGGGCTGGCCAGGTGAGCTGGGGTCAACAGAAGTGAGGGAACAAGGGGCTGGGCACGGTGGCTCACGCCTGTAATCCCAGCACTTTGGGAGGCCGAGGTGGGCAGATCACTTGAGGTCAGGAGTTCAAGACCAGCCTGGCCAACATGGTGAAACCCCGTCTCTACTAAAAATACAAAAAATTATCTGGTGTGGTGGTGTGCTCCTGTAGTCCCAGTTTCTCAGGAGGCCGAGGCAGAAGAATAGCTTGAACCCAGTAGGTGAAGGTTGTAGTGAGCCGAGATTGTGCCGCTGCACTCCAGCCTGGGTGACAAAGCAAGACTCTGTCTAAAAAAAGAGAAAAAAAGAAAGAAATGAAGAAATGAGGGAACGAGAAGATGGAGTTAAAAGGAGGTGGCCAGTGGAAAGACAGAATCTTGAGTCTCACACAGTGTGGTTTCTTACCCCCCTTTCTGAGCTGTGGCTCTGGTACACTCCAAGCTGGACCCTTAGCTCCTGACCTGAGGCCCATGTCCCATCCTTCAGAGCAGATTGGGTGCAGTTGGGAGAGGCACATGGTTCTTGAATTAGCTGGGACTTGGGAGCTGGGCTGTGCGTGTAGCCAAGGACAGGGCTTTGGGACGTGGCTTCTGCACATCCCCAGGTGGTGATCACTGCCAGTCAGATCCAGTGGACGGCTGATGTCACCAAGTGCCTGCTGACAGCGAAGGAGCGGGCAGACAAGAAAATCCTCAAGGTCATGAAGAAGAACCAGGTGAGAGGCTGGGCGCACTGGCTCATGCTTGTAATCCCAGCACTTTGGGAGGCAGAGGTGGTAGGAGCCCACTCGCTTGAGCCCAGGAGTTCGAGACCAGCCTGGGCAATATGGCGAAACCCCTTCTTTACCAAAAAATACAAAAATTAGCTGGTGGCACACCCAGGAGGTTGAGGCTGCAGTGAGCTAAGATCGTACCACTGCACTCCAGCCTGGGCGACAGAACAAGACTCTGTCTCAAAAAAAAAAAAAAAGAAAGAAAAGAAAAGAAAAGAAAAAAGTAGGTGGGTGCTCTGCAAGTATGGGCTAGGCCTGGAGCTAGAATTGCAGGGAGGGAGCAGTCAGAATTAGAGGTGAGCTGGTGGAAAAGGGCCAGAGCGAGGGTGCTTTATGATGGAAGTCCAGTGGGGGCAGTCCGTGGTAGAGCAGAATTACCAGGAGTTACAGCAGGTGGGGTCAGCACCGGGTTGGAAGCGGTGCTGGGTAGGGGCAAGGGTTGATCAGGCTTTGGCGGCATTGCTCTGTCTGCTCTCTTCCCTGCTGCTTCATGCCACAGGTGTCAATCCTGAATAAGTATTCAGAAGCCATCAGGGGGAACTTGACCAAGATCATGCGGCTTAAAATTGTGGCTCTGGTGACGATAGAAATTCATGCCCGGGATGTGTTGGAGAAGCTTTACAAGAGTGGCCTCATGGATGTCAATTCCTTTGACTGGCTCAGCCAACTTCGGTTCTACTGGGAGAAGGTGCCAGATGGGCCACCTCCCCACTCTCTTACCGTAAAATGGATCCTAATGCTTTTATTGCATCCATGTTCTGTAAATGCAAGGATATCCTAAGCCAACCCTTAGTCCTGTCCCACTACCCTAATCCGGTTCTTCCTTCCATCTCCTCCCCACAATCAGGAGTGGCAAGTAGTTGTCCCAGTCAGGGCTCACTATGAATGTCACTTGAACAGGACTCAGAAACACTCCAGGCAGCTGCTGCATTGGGTCGGGGTGGATGTGCAACATGAAACCCATTTTCCATCTTGCCCATAAACCGCTCCCCTTTTCAACTCTAAAAGGGAACCCCTGATCCCTTCACTGCAGCCTCCCTGACAACTCTGAGCCCCACTCTCAGTCATTGTCCCAGCTCTAACTCTCCTTCCAAGCCCACCTCTCTCTTTTTCTGCGCTGTTTTCCCCAGGATCTTGATGACTGTGTCATCCGCCAGACCAACACGCAATTTCAGTATAATTATGAGTACTTGGGTAACTCGGGCCGGCTCGTCATCACCCCCCTGACGGACAGGTCTGCCATGTGGGATGAATGAGGTGGCTGGGGTGGGGGGCAGCAGAAGCTGAGAGAGGCTTCCAGGAGTCTGACTCTAGTTCTGTCCTCAATTCTCAGGTGTTACATGACACTGACCACGGCATTGCACCTGCACCGAGGGGGCTCCCCCAAAGGCCCTGCAGGCACAGGCAAGACCGAGACCGTCAAGGACCTGGGCAAGGCCCTGGGCATATATGTCATTGTGGTCAACTGCTCTGAGGGCCTGGACTACAAGTCCATGGGCCGAATGTACTCAGGTCTGGCCCAGGTCAGTATCCTGCCACCCTGTGCCAGAAGCCCCTTAAATACCTTTTCGTCCCAGAAAATAAACTGAAACCCAAATCTGGTTCAGTGCTTTGTAGCTTCATGACATTGCATCACATGTAATTCTTATTTATTTATTTATTTATTTTTTGGAGTGCAGTGGCATGATCTCGGTTCACTGCAACCTTTGCCTGCTGGGTTCGGGCAATTCTCCTGCCTCAGCCTCCTGAGTAGCTGGGATTACAGGCGTGTGACACCAAGCCCGGAGAATTTTTGTATTTTTAGTGGAGACGGGGTTTCACCATCTTGGCCAGGCTGGTCTCGAACTCCTGACCTTAGGTGATCCACCTGTCTTGGCCTCCCAAAGTGCTGGGATTACAGGCGTGAGCCACTGCGCCCAGCCACGTATAATTCTTACAACTAGGAAAGTCCCTTCCCCTTCCTGAGCTTCATGTAGCTTATTTGCAAAATCAGAAGATTATAAAGGATTAAAGAAAATAATGTGTGTTAACTGGAGCAGAGTAGACAGTGCACACAAGTTCCCTACCCCAGTCTCTTTCCAACCCACACCTTTTCTAGCATCACCCCAGATTGGCCCCATCTGATGGAAAGTTCTGGCCAGAAGCTACAACAGTGTACTCTGGTGCCCTCCTCCCTGCCCCCTAGTCTGGAGGCCGCCTCGCCTATTGAAACATTTGAAGGAAGGGTGCGTTAATCACGCTTTCTAGCCTCTTGGGGCACCTCTCGCTCCCAGTGACTCTGCCTTGCACCCCGCAGACTGGAGCTTGGGGCTGCTTTGATGAGTTTAACCGCATCAACATCGAGGTGCTGTCAGTGGTGGCCCACCAGATCCTGTGCATCCTGTCTGCCCTGGCTGCCGGCCTCACCCATTTCCATTTTGATGGCTTTGAAATAAATCTGGTGTGGTCCTGTGGGATCTTCATTACCATGAATCCTGGTAGGTGGCAGGGAGTGGATGGGACTCCTGGGGTGGGAAGAACTGGGTGTTCAGGGGAAATAACTGCGCATCCTCCTCTTCCCCCTTCCATGCGAATGTATATAGCTAAGTGAAGTCTGGCTAAAGATAGCAAAGGGGAGAGAAGGATAAACACAACTTTCCGGGAGAAGGGGAAGCAATCTTACTGTTTTCCCCAAAGGGATTAATAACCACTTATGTGTGTATATGTAGCCCTCATCTTTTAAGATACTTAGCTTTCTTCTCCCTTTAGGCTAGCTCCAAGAGTTCTGGTCTCTCTGCCATCTCTTTTGCAGCAGGCTCTAGGGTCTCTCATTACTGTTTCCTAGGAACAACTCTGGGGGAAGGGTCTAGGACAGCACAGGGATAGGAAAGGGTTTAGGAACTGAACAAAGAGGAACAGCTGTGATTTCTATTAGGACTGATGAGAGCTATACACACAGAACCTGGAGAGATGGGAAATTGACAGCTCTGTGATTTGAGTTTGAAACAAGGCCATGCAGAAAGTAAGGAAAGGACCAGAGATAAGAGAGAAGACCAAAGTGGACTGGGAAGGGCTGGGGCTGAGATGAGAAAGGATGTGGTCTTGGAGTTGGAGAGAAAGTTAGGGATGGAGTTAGGGTGGGAGAAAATGAGACTGATTGGAAAGTGGGTTTGGGGAAGCAAATCAAGATGAGGAAATATATGATTCTAAGCAAGTGGCATTGTTTTCCAGGCTATGCTGGCCGCACAGAGCTTCCCGAAAATCTTAAATCCATGTTCCGCCCAATTGCCATGGTGGTGCCTGACTCCACCCTCATTGCAGAAATCATTCTCTTTGGAGAGGGCTTTGGCAACTGCAAGGTACTCCAATAACCCCTTTTCTCCAGTGATTTTAATTTCCTTTCATAATTATTCCCTGGACAGAGGAGCTCCCCAAGGGCCTCACAATCAGCTTATCCTCTAAGGAACTTAGACTATTGTCAGTAGGATGTGTGGGGAGAAAAATTTAGGGGAGGGAGGTGTCTCCTCCGTGATATCACTAACTGACAATGGCGTCATTCACACAATTTCCTCAGGAGAATCCATAGAGTGCCTCCTAGCTGCTTCATGTCCTGGGACCTGGCTTCTTGTCTCTGACTGTCCTGAGATGAAGCAGAGGGATTTGTGGGGAGATGGACTGTTTCCTCCTCTGTTTTGGTTCCCCAGATTCTGGCCAAGAAGGTGTACACACTCTACTCACTGGCTGTGCAGCAGCTGTCCAGACAGGACCACTATGACTTTGGCCTGCGTGCCCTCACCTCCCTTCTGCGCTATGCTGGCAAGAAGCGCCGCCTACAGCCGGATCTGACTGATGAAGAGGTAGAGCAAGGACACAGCCTTTGGACCTGACTTCCACTGTCACTGGACCTATGTCACTTCTCTCAAGTCTTTCAGACCCTTTCTTTCCTCAGATTGGGATTCTCACCTTCCCACCTCGTCCCATCCCCGTGTTGCCCGCTGCTTTGCTAATGGCTAACTGGTGTATCCATTGTTCTTGGCACGTGCCCCGAAGCCCTTTGGAGGTGAAAGGCCTAGGCCCTGCCTCCTCAAGCCTGAGTCTCTGTCTTTTCCCATTCAGGTTCTGCTGCTCTCAATGAGAGATATGAACATCGCCAAGCTCACTTCAGTTGATGCACCCCTGTTCAATGCCATCGTGCAAGATCTGTTTCCCAACATTGAGCTGCCTGTCATTGACTATGGCAAGGTATTTGTTCCTTAATACTCTCCCTGACCGGGTGCTGTGGCTCATGGTTGTAATCCCAGCACTTTGGGAGGCCGAGGTGGGCAGACTGTTTGAGTCCAGGAGTTTGAGACTAGCCTGGGCAACATGGTGAAACCCTGTATCTACAAAAAGTACAAAAATTAGCCAGGCATGGTGGTGCACACGAGTGTAGTCCCAGCTACTCGGGAGGCTGAGGTAGGAGGATTGCTTGAGCCCCAGGAGATTGAGGCTATAATGAGCTGAGATTGTGCCTCTGCACTCCAGCCTGGGTGACAGAGCAAGACCGTGTCTCAAAAAACAAAACAAAAACAAAAAAACCGCACTCTCCCTGACCACATATGTGAATATGCATCTGGGAATAGAAAACTTGGCTTCCAGTCCTTGTTCTGCCATCTACTAGCTATGACTCTGAACAAGTCAATTGACCTCTCTTTGGACTTCCTTATCTATAAAGCAATAGACTATTCAAACATTCTGCTCTCTGACCACAACTCCCTCCTCCGCTGACCTACTCAAGTGTACCTGCTCAAGTGCATCCATGCAGCAACGCTCTGACTTCATTGAAACCTCTAGTCCGTTGCCTTTGCACTTTCTCCGTGCCCATCAGTCCTCCATGCCTCTACTTCTCACCTCATCAGGGAGTTTTGAGGAGGGGCTGCTAGAAGCCATTTGGTATCAGAGAGCAGCAGAATGGAAGAGGGAGTTTTAGAAAGCATAAGAACTTTCTTCTCTGGCAGTGTGGTAGTCTAGATACCCTGAATGATCCTTTCAATTGAAACTACTAAAATGATGGATAAAAATATAATAATAACATCCTTTTTAATGCATTGCTAAGCTGGCAAGAAAGGAAGAATTCCAGGAGTTGAGGAGGGTAGGGAGTAAAAGCAGGAACCCTGGGAGGCAGGTAAGTACCAAAGCTGGCCTTCTCCCTGAAAACTGTTGTTGATCTTAAGGCAGTGAGGATAGGAGATGAAACAACCCAAGTCTGAAGATATAACAGAAGATGCAGTGCTGCATAAACCCCAGTCCCCAAGGGGCAACATCCCCAGTAGATGGAAAAACGAGAAGTCTGAGATTTAGAAGCGTATATACAGGAAAGAAACTTGCTTGTTTTGACCTCTGATGATGGAAGAAAAAGACCAAATTTTCTTTGAGATTTCCTAACCACACACCAGCTCTCACATGGTTTCCAGTCATCATTTATCCTACTGTGTAATCAGAAAAGAAATCTCAAGCTTAGATTTCAATATTAAGTAGTTCTAGGTTGTTAGTGCCCCCAGGTGACTGGAAGAAGCAAAAGCAAATTATTTCTGGAGGAATGAAATTTCAACTCACACTTCAAAGAAGTGCCACAGGTAAAAGTCCAAGAAAATGAGCAACTCATGGTCAAAAATCACAAAACACACAAGGAAACAAGAAACCATGAATGGGAGCCAGAAGAACAACAGACAGTGGAATCAGATCCATGAAAACTTACTTCAGATATTGAAACTGATAGGGGCGAGGTGCGGTGGTTCACGCCTGTCATCTCAACACTTTGGAGGCTGAGGCAACAGGATCACTTTAGGCTAGGAGTTCAAGACCAGCCTGGGTAACATAGCAAGACCTCCATCTCTTAAAAAAAAAAATAGCCACACATGGAGGTGTGCTCCTGTAGTCACAACTACTTTCTCCAAAAGCTACTAGAAAAACGTGCTCTACTTAAACACAGGAACACATCGTGAAAAGGACGATGGGAAACAAAAGATTTGGTGCAAGGGGGAGGCTACAGTAATCCTCGGGGTGTTGGTGAATGGAGGTCACAGGATGATGGTGGTGCACTGGGCAAAGAGAGAAGCCAATCCAGACTGGAGCAAACCTGAAGTCTTCAGGAGGACTGTTTTTTTGTTTTGTTTTGTTTTGTTTTTTTGAGATGGAGTTTCACTCTTGTTGCCCAGGCTGGAGTGCAATGGCACAATCTTGGCTCACCGCAACCTCCGCCTCCCAGGTTCAAGCGATTCTCCTGCCTCAGCCTCCCGAGTAGCTAGGATTACAGGCATGCACCACCACACCCAGCTAATTTTGTATTTTTGGTAGAGACGGGGTTTCTCCATGTTGGTCAGGCTGGTCTCGAACTCCCGACCTCAGGTGATCCGCCTGCCTCAGCCTCCCAAAGTGCTGGAATTACAGGCATGAGCCACTGCGCCGGGCCAGGATGACTTTTTAAAGAAGAAATTGATACCCGATGTGAAAATTGTTTGAAAGATTTAGTCAACTGGTAGAGTTTGGAATTGAGTTAGAGATAAGCACATTAAAAACTAAGCAAACATGGGGGCAAAACAAAAACAAAAACAAAAACAAAACCCTAAGCAAACAGGCTGGACATGATGGCTCACACCTGTAATCCTAGCACTTTGGGAGGCATAAGCAGGTGGATTGCTTGAGGTGAGGAGTTTGAGACCAGCGTGGGCAACATGGTGAAAATGAGCCAGGTGTAATGGCTCATGCTTGTAGTCTCAGCTATTGGGAGGGCTGAGGCAGGAGGATTGTTTGAGCCCAGGAGGTGGAGATTGCAGTGGCTGAGATTGTGAGATTGTGCCACTCCAGCCTGGGTGACAGAGTGAGACCCTGTTTCCAAAAAAAAAAAAACAAAAAACAGAACCTAAGCAAACAAAAATCACAAAAACTATTAGATCCTAGGGAAAACAAAAAAAGTTGCCCAAGAAAGGAAAAGTAACCATACATTGTTATACTGATACTTTATAATGTTTACAAGAGACCCATCTAAAGCTTAATGACAAAGGGCTGAAAGTCAAAGAATAGAAAATGATGTTTTTTCTATTATTTGATAATTATTAGTAAATAATTAGTTTTAGTAAATACGAATCAAAAGAAAGCTAGGGTAGCAATATGGGACAACAGATTTTGAGCTAAAAAGCATTGCTAGAAATAGAGGGCTATTTCATAATAATAAAAGTTTCAACTCATCAGGAAGGTATAACAATTCTAGATTTTTGTGCATCTAATAATATAGTCTCAAAATAAGTAGAGCAAATTTTGCACAATTACAAGGAGAAAGAGACAAATCTAGTATCATAGTGGAGAGCTTAATATTTCTTAATTGATAGAGCAAACAGACTAAAAATCAGGATATAGAAGATTTGAAGAACACAATCAACAATCATGATTTAATGGATATCTATAGAAACTGGACTCAATAATTGGAGAATCGGCCAGGCATGTTGGCTCATGCCTGTAGCCCCAGGACTTTGGGAGGCCAAGGTGGGAGGATTACCTGAGGTCAGGACTTCAAGGCTGCATTGAGCCATGACTGTACCACTGCACTCCAGCCTGGGTGACAGAGTGAGACCTCAACTCAACTCAATAAAATAAAATAAATAATTGAAGCATAACCATATTTTTCAAGCACACATAGAAAATTGTTGGACCATGTAGGAAAAGGAAAATTGATGACTATGTAAAGGCCATAAATTTGCCTCAAAAATGTCAAAGGAAGATATTCAGACCACAGTTTCTGATCACAGTGATAACTCTACTGCTATCAGGCAAAGCAGACTTTATGGCAAGAAGCAATCGTAAAGGTGAAGAGTGACATTTCATAATGATAAAAGGATCAATACACAGAAAGTTATAAGAGTTCTAAATCTGTATGCACTAAATAATATAGCTACAAAATCCATAAAAGAAACTGGACAGAACCATAAGGAGAAACACATAAATCCACAGCCCTGGTGGGAGATCTTGACTTACTTCTTTTAGGAACAGATAATGCAAACAGACCAAAAAATCCATAAAGAGATGCATTTGAATGCTTTTAACAGACAGTGACAAAATAGAAAAAGCCCGAGTGTTTGGAAATTTGGCAATACAATTCTAAATAACTAATGGATCAAAGAAGAAATTAGAGAATTTTTTTTTTTTTTTTTGAGATGGAGTCTCAAAAAAAAGCTCTGTTGCCCAGGCTGGAGTGCAGTGGTGAGATTTCGGCTCACTGCAACCTCCGCCTCCCAGGTTCAAGCGATTCTCGTGCCTCAGCCTCCTGAGTAGCTGGGACTACAGGCACACGCCACCACACCCGGCTAATTTTTTGTATTTTTAGTAGAGACGGGGTTTCGCCATGTTGGCCAGGCTGGTCTCGAACTCCTGACCTCAGGCGATCTGTCCGCCTCAGCCTCCCAAAGAGTTGGGATTACAGACGTGAGCCACCGCGCCTGGCTGAGAATATTTTTTAACTGAATAAGTAGAAAATGTGACATTAAACTTGTTTAGGACACTAAACACATGTGCACACAGAAAACATACTAATAAAACTACTTCTCAGATAGTGGAAGGAAGTGGAATTAGTGAGGCCTGTTAGTGCAAGTAACTATCTTGTATCTATTTGAAAATATTTGGCTACATGAGCTGTGTGTTTAAAAATGGCACACTATTCTGGGGCCCATCTGTTAGGTCATGGTTCTTCAAGCATTACTTTTTAACTTAGGTAATAATGTCTTTACTATTAAACGGGCTCTTCCACCAAACTGTGAGCTCTGCAATAGGACGAAATCTATTTTGTTCCAAGCCGTATCTGTGGCAACCAGCACAGTGCTTGGCATACATTGTACAGGCTTAATAAATATTTGCTGAATAATAACAAAAAGTGTGTAGAGCTACATGTAAGACACTGTGTCAATGAGGAAACTGAGGCGTGGAGAAGTAACTTACCCAGGATCACATAGCTGAGAGCTGGGGAACCAGGCTGGCGGACTCCAGAGCCCAATCTTTCAACTCTGCAATGGGCCAGCTTCCCAATGAGTGAACAGAGCCGGAGTGCAGAGGGCCCTGGTGCCATTTTTAACAGTTTGAACGTATTCTCTCTGGCACCGGGGAGATTTTGAAAGCCCTTTAAAGGCCTCATCCTTTTTCTTCTGCTTGCTGTGTTTTCCCTTCCCTCAGCTGCGGGAGACCGTTGAGCAGGAGATTCGAGACATGGGCCTGCAAAGCACGCCGTTCACCCTCACCAAGGTTTTCCAGTTGTATGAAACCAAGAACTCCCGCCACTCCACCATGATCGTGGGCTGCACGGGCAGCGGCAAGACTGCCTCATGGCGCATTCTACAGGCCTCCCTGTCCTCTCTGTGCCGCGCCGGAGACCCTAACTTCAACATTGTTAGAGTACGGGGCTGGGACAGTGGAGTCAGTGGGCAGAGACTTGAGTAGTAAGAAGACAATGGAGGGTGGGGGCCAGGGAGGACCTTGCAAGGCCGGGAGAGCTGTACCTGGGACCATGGTGGCCTGGAGCGATGAGAGAAGGGACAAATGCACGTACCTAAGAGGGGTCTGGAAATAAAGAGGGGTTTTTGTCCATCAGCAGCTAAAACCCCTTCCGGTGTCATTTTCAGGAGTTCCCTTTGAACCCCAAGGCATTGTCCCTAGGGGAACTGTATGGGGAATATGACCTCAGCACCAATGAATGGACAGATGGCATCTTGTCCAGTGTCATGCGGACGGCATGTGCAGGTATCCAGAGGATCGTGGGGTGTGGAGAGCAGACGCCTGAGTCTCCTAAGGGGGCAGGGAGTCTGGGGATAGGAAGTTCCAAGTTGGGAGAGAAATGCCTGGGGAATGCTGAAGTACAAGGGAGTGTAGGCTTGTGTCTCCGAGGAGCGTGAGCGGAGGGTGCAAGGTGAGCGGCTCCCCGGTTTCCTCATCACCCACCATCTACTCAGATGAGAAACCCGACGAGAAGTGGATCCTGTTCGATGGCCCCGTGGACACACTGTGGATCGAGAACATGAACTCCGTCATGGACGATAACAAGGTGTTGACCCTCATCAACGGCGAGCGCATCGCGATGCCCGAGCAGGTCAGGGACGCGGCTGACTCCTGGAGGCCTGCAGAGGCAGGCACCGGAGGGCGTGGGCCGGGGCTGGGGAGGAGAGCCAGAAATCTCAGAGCAGGGCAGGTTCTGTGGGAGAGAGCTGAAAGGTGGATGCCTGGATTCAGGGAAACCTGCAGCTGAAGAAAAATGCTTTGCTTGCCGCGGCTGTTGAGAACAATGATAAGAAAAACACCCTCTGTTGTAAGCACTGTGTAGGCTTGGGCGGCCCTCCTCGGCTCGTTCTCACGGATGCATGAGGCAGGACCCTCGTTTGTGCACCCAGAGGTATGAATTCACGGACTGGCAAGCACACCCTTTTCCACCCACTCCAACAATGCGAGCAAGAGAGTGATTTTTCAAAAGGACAACCTTGAATAAGCTCTAGTTTCTTTTAAAGCAAACTGGGCCGGGCCGGGTGGCTCACGCCTGTAATCCTAGCACTTTGGGAGGCCAAGGTGGGCAGATCACTTGAGGTCAGGAGTTCAAGACCAGCCTGGCCAACAGGGTAAAACCCCATCTCTACTAAAAAATACAAAAGTTAGCTGGGTGTGGTGTTGTGCACCTGTAGTCCCAGGTACTCTGGAGGCTGAGGTGGGAGGATTGCTTGAACCTGAGAGGCGGAGGTTGCAGTCAGCCAAGATCACGCCACTGCACTCCAGCCTGGGTGACGGAGTGAGACTTTGTCTTAAAAAAAAAAAAAAAAAAAGCAAATCGTTTGTGAACTTGTAGCATCCGAGTTCCGGGTGTTTTATTATTCCTGAAGGTGGGGGATGCAGAGAAAGATGAAGTTCTGACAAACGTATATCCTTAGGTGTCTCTCCTGTTTGAAGTGGAGGACCTGGCAATGGCCTCTCCGGCCACTGTATCCCGCTGCGGGATGGTCTACACTGACTACGCTGACCTGGGCTGGAAGCCCTATGTTCAGTCATGGCTGGAGAAGAGGCCAAAGGTATGAAGGGAACTGAGGAGAGGGAAAGTAACCAGGGTGGCTCCAGGACACAAGGGTGAATGAAGAGCCCCTTCTTATTCAACTCCAGGCTGAGGTGGAGCCCCTTCAACGCATGTTCGAAAAGCTCATCAACAAGATGCTGGCCTTTAAGAAGGACAACTGCAAGGAGCTGGTGCCCCTGCCCGAGTACAGCGGTATCACCTCCCTCTGCAAGCTGTACTCTGCCCTGGCCACGCCAGAGAATGGGGTAAGGGGAGGACACAGACCACGGGCAGGGGCAGGGGGTGCTCACAGCCTCACCAGAACAACTTCTGGGAAACGGCGTGTCTGAGACAGGTTGAACTCCAGGCTTGAGTGGAGCAGAGACTCCAGGGGGAGGCTTCAACGACCATGGAGGCAGTGAGGGGTGTGTGTGTGCATGTCTGTGTGTGTGCACGTGTGCATTGAGCTGAAAGGTCTGACTAGGGGTTCTGAATTGAATATGTACACAATGGGATCTCACTATAATTTCCCACCCATGCTTTGGGAGCTGAAAATAGCTCATTCCGCTCCTCACTTCTCCATCCCTTCAAAATATAAGTTTTGGCGTAGATGAGGCCCTGGGACACCATTTCTCCTAGAAGAAGCTCCCAGGCTATTCTGATGAGAGGACTTTTTAAACATTTCAGATTAATCTATATTTAAGAAAAACTGTGCTCAGTTTAGAAGTAAGGACCAAAATTTGATATCTTCTGTTGAGATTAAATCACTGCCTATAAATGGTTTGTATTGTTTTTAAAGATGTTGCTAGGTAATTAAACTATTAATATGTCATCAACAATTAAGATCTGTAGGAACATATGTCATTCCTGGTACAGTTAATGTAAATTAAAAATATGTAGATGGGGCTGGGCACGGTGGCTCACGCCTGTAATCCCAGCACTTTGGGAGGCCGAGGTGGGTGGATCACCTGAGGTCAGGAGTTCGAGACCAGCCTGGCCAACATGGTGAAACCCTGTCTCTACTAAAAATACAAAATTAGCCAGGTGTGGTGGCACGTGCCTGTAGTCCCAGTTACTTGGGAGGCTGAGACAGGACAATCGCTTGAACCCAGGAGGCAGAGGCTGCAGTAAGCCAAGATTGTGCCACTGCACTCCAGCCTAGGCAAGACAGAGCAAGACTCTGTCTCAAAAAACAAAAACAAAAACAAAAAACCGCAGATGGACTTGCCAGGTACTGTGTGGGCAGAGGGCAGTTACGAGTTATCAATGGCCCACAGATGTCAAGAAGGACGGGCTGGGTAGGGGAGGCTTCCCGGGTGAGCAGAGGGCAAGAGTGGCCTCTGCAGAAGTGCAGACACACAGGAGTCAGGCCTGGCAGGGCGGGCCGAGCTGGTGGTCTGTAGCCGGATGTGGTGGGTGGTGTTTTTGTGTAGATGCGCTTCAGCGTGGCAGAGACCCTGAGGAGAGGGCTGGACCATGAGGATGGTGAGATGGGTTGTGTGCTGAGAAAGGCTGGGAGCACAGACTAAGGATTCTGGACTGAAAATGGCAGACAATTGATTCTTAACATAATTTCCCACCTATAGGATTGAGGAATACTCTTTTTTTTTTTTTTTGAGATGGAGTCTCACTCCTTTGCCCAGGCTGGAGTGCAGTGGCACGATCTCAGCTCACCGCAACCTCCGCCTTGCAGGTTCAAGCGATTCTCCTGCCTCAGCCTCCTGAGTAGCTGGGACTACAGGTGCCTGCCACCACACCCAGCTAATTTTTTGTACTTTTAGTAGAGATGGGGTTTCACCTTGTTGGTCAAGCTGGTCTTGAACTCCTGACCTCAGGTGATCCACCCACCTCGGCCTCCCAAAGTGCTGGGATTACAGGCGTGAGCCACCACTCCTGGCCAGGATTGAGGATTACTCTCTAAACCCAAGATCGGTATTCTGGATTGGACGCACCAAGTGTATCACATTATCTGTGGTCCTAGGTATCTTAATTCACAACCCATCCTCAAGCGCTCTCCACCCACGGGCCTGTGTCTGCTTTGCATAGTAAAGCAGACTATCCCTTTGCCAGGGATGGTTTGAAGGATGCCGAGTTTGCTGTCTGTGGTCTCCAAGAGGCCTGAGAGAGGTGGGATGGCCCCATGTGCTCCATGCGCCCAGTCAGAAGAAAGATATCTGTCACGTGCCCTCTGGGCAGGGGGTTGAGAGCATGGGCTCTAAATATGCTCTTTCCATTATTAAGTTGGTACATTTTACATTTTATCTTTTTGGAGATAGGGTCTCACTCTGTTGCCCAAGCTGAGTGCTGTGGTGTGATCTCGGCTCACTGCAGCCTCAACTTCCTGGGCTCAAACAATTCTCCTGTCTCCTGAGTAGCTGGGACCGCAGGCGTGCGCCATCACACCCAGCTAATTTTTGATTATTTCTAGAGATGGGGTCTCACTGTGTTGCCCAGGCTGGTCTCAAACTCCTGGACTCAAGTGATCCTCCTGCCTCAGCCTCTCAAAGTGCTGGGACTAGAGGCATGAGCCACCACACCAGGCCACATTTTACATTTTAATTTTTAATTACACAGATAATTGTTGAATCAAGTTCCCTTTCTGAAAATAATAATTTTTCATATAAAGCTAAAGTCCTTTTTGTTCCCCTCTCTCCTCCCAGTCCTGATCTGCTCCTCACTCCACACAAGTAACTACTGTAGTATGTTTGTGTATGTCATTCCAGACCTCTTTTTTAATTTTTTTTTTTTTAAGAGACAGGGTCTTGCTCTGTTACCAAGGCTGGAATGGCATGATCAGGGCTCACTGCAGCCTCAACATTCTGGGCTCAAGTGATCCTCCCACCTCAGTCTCCTGAGTAGCTGAGATTACAGATGCACACCACCATGCCTGGCTTTGTTGTTGTTGTTGTTGTTGAGACAGGTTTCACTATGTTATTCAGGCTGGTCTTGAACTCCTGGCCTCAAGCAATACTCCCACCTCAGCTTCCCAAAGTGCTGGGATTACAGTCATGAGCCACCATGTCTGGCCTAGGCCTTTTTAAAGGTACACCTTTACCTATAATACCATGGGTATCCATAGAAAATATGTTTTTTGTTTTTTTTTTTGTTTTTGGAGATGGAGTTTTGCTCTTGTTGCCCAGGCTGGAGCGCAGCGGTGCCATCTCGGCTCACTGCAACCTCCACCTCCTGGGTTCAAGCGATTCTCCTGCCTCAGCCTCCTGAGTAGCTGGGATTAACAGGCACCACCACACCCGGCTAATTTTTGTATTTTTAGTAGAGATGGGGTTTCTCCATGTTGGCCAGGCTGGTCTCGAACTCGTGACCTCAGGTGATCCACGCGGCTCTGCCTCCCTAAGTGCTGGGATTACAGGCATGAGCCACCGTGCCTGACTGAAAATGTGGTATTTTTTTTTAAAACTATATCATGCTATATACTGCAACATGTCCGTTAAATTAACAATATGTTTTTGAGTTCTGTATTACTACACGTAGATTCATTTCATTGCTTTAACTGCTATATACTATTCCATGATAGAACACTACATTTTATTTTTCCACTGCTCTACTGGTGAACATTTCAGTCATCTCCAGTGTTTTGCAATTACAAACAAGTCACTATGAATGTTCCGGGACCTGTCTCCTGAGCACCCTTGGTTGCTTTTCCAGGGCAGGCCTGTTGTGGCCAGATGATGGCTGCATCTTCATGAGTTAGCAGTGAGGAAGCTCAGGGCAACTGCTGAGCTATAAGAAATTTCAGGTTTGTCTGTCTTTCAGCAGGTTGTAGATAAACATCCACATTTGGAAAACTGTGCGATTTTCCAAATAGAGCCAGGGAAGGAGGAAGACCCAGGCTTTCCACACTCTGGTGTCACGAGTCTGCCAGATGGACCCCTGGTCTCTTACAGGTGGGTTATTTCCTCTTCTCGTTCTCCATCCAGGTGAACCCAGCTGACGGCGAGAACTATGTCACCATGGTAGAGATGACATTTGTGTTCAGCATGATCTGGTCTGTGTGTGCCTCTGTGGATGAGGAGGGCCGGAAGAGGATCGACAGCTACCTCCGAGAGATCGAGGGCTCCTTTCCCAATAAGGTTGGGCGCACACCTGGCTGTCCTATTTGCCCTGTTTTTCCAGACCCCCTGGGCATCCCCCATCTCAGGCTCTGCTTGGGTTTCCCTCTCTCTTTCTTCCACCCGGTGGTCTGGGGCCCGTTCTCTGGGCTGGAGAAGGCTCAAGGAAGGCTTTGGTAACCTGACCTACATGCCCTCCTTAGGACACGGTATATGAGTATTTTGTGGACCCCAAAATACGGAGTTGGACATCATTTGAGGACAAGCTCCCTAAGAGTTGGCGCTACCCTCCAAAGTAAGAGCTGGGCCTGGGTGTGAGGAGGGCATGGGGCAGCGGTAGGTGGGGGATGTGGCAAGAGAGATGGGGCCTAGAAGCAAAAATGAGCAATAGGAAGGAGAAGGTGGGTCCCAGAGAAGGGCTGCCTCTTGAGGACAGGAAGCGGGACCTAGAGGGCTTGGGACAGGGTCTCTGAGGGGAGCACATGATCCCCAGGCCCCACAGGAGGGCAGGGTGCTGATGAGACAGTGGTGACGTAGAGGGAAAGGAAGTGGGAGTTGGAAAGGAGTGGGCGGCTGGTCCTTGAGAGCCGGCCCCTGCTCTTCCCTAGCGCCCCCTTCTATAAGATCATGGTGCCCACCGTCGACACTGTTCGCTACAACTACCTGGTGAGCAGCTTGGTGGCCAACCAGAATCCCATTCTGCTGGTGGGTCCCGTGGGGACTGGGAAGACCTCCATCGCCCAGAGCGTTCTGCAGTCCCTGCCCTCCAGCCAGTGGTCGGTGCTCGTTGTCAACATGTCCGCACAGGTGTGTCGGGGATCCAGGGGCCAGGCTGCCGGCTCCCTTGGGATCCAAGTGCCTGCCTGACCCTCCTCTCTAAGCCCGTATTTCTCTCAGGGGACCCACACATTCATTCGGTACCTTTTCACCAGACCACATCCAATAACGTGCAGAGCATCATTGAGAGCAGGGTTGAGAAGCGAACCAAGGGTGTCTACGTGCCATTCGGGGGCAAAAGCATGATCACCTTTATGGATGACCTAAATATGCCCGCTAAGGACATGTTTGGGTCCCAGCCACCCCTGGAGCTGATCCGCCTCTGGATTGACTATGGCTTCTGGTATGACCGTACGAAGCAGACCATCAAGTACATTCGAGTAAGCCTCGCTAGAGTCTGTTCTTCAGGCCTCTGCTCCTTCTGGGATAGGCTCAGTCCCCACTCCACTGGGGCCCCAGGCTATGGTCCTGTCATCTTGGATTCCTTCCCACACAGGAGCGTCCTTCTCCATGACAGCAGTTCTCGGCTCCCCACTCACGAGCCAGGCATCCTCCCTCAGTCCTGGCTCCTTCGTGGGATTCTGAGCATATTGTTTGCCTGCTTGCTTTTTCTTTCTTTCTTTTTCTTTCTTTCTTTCTTTCTTTCTTTCTTTCTTTCTTTCTTTCTTTCTTTCTTTCTTTCTTTCTTTCTTCTCTTTCTCTTTCTTTCTTTTTCTTTCTTCTCTTTCTTTCTCTTTCTTTCTTTCTTTTTTTCTTTCTTTCAGACAGCATCTTGCTATGTTGCCAAGGCTGGGGTGCCGGGTTAATTTTATGATTTTTAGTGGACACAAGGTCCCCATATGTTGGCCAGGCTGGTTTTGAACTCCTGGGCTCAAGAGATCCTCCCATCTTGGCCTCCCAAAGTGTTGGCATTACAGGCCTGAGCCATGCTCCCGGCTGCTTCTCTTTAATCAGCGGCCATCGCGGCCTGGCTCCTGGGGTTGTTTGTGTGTATATCTGGCACTCAGGGCCAAAAACTCGCCTAGTGCTATATTCATGTGTGTTTGAGAGAGAACATACACACACACGTGTATAGATAGGTACAATTTTAAAAGAAGAAAAAGAGAAAAAGAAGAAAGAGAAAGTCTAGAAGACACAAATGTTTTTTTACTTACCTGTATTTTCTCATTTGGGTACATGGATTATAAGGATGAAATACAGACAAATGCATTCCTGGTACTAAAATAAGTTTCCCATGTCCCTTCCTTCTCTTCCCCTCCCCCTGCCCTACCACTCCATGTTCCTCTCAACTCGCTGCATCCCGGTTCCTCTTCCCCTTTGTCCCTCCTCGCACTGTTTTCCTCCCACTCCTTTTCACCTGGCCTGTGTCGGCGCCTCTCTTGCCCTCTCCCCTCCTGCCTGTCTGCCCTCCTTGTCGCTGCTCTCTAGGAAATGTTCCTGATGGCTGCCATGGGCCCCCCTGGGGGTGGACGGACTGTCATCTCCCCAAGGCTACGGAGTCGCTTCAACATTATCAACATGACCTTCCCCACAGTGAGGACCTCATGGGGGCTGCAGGACGAGGGGAGGGTAGGAGGTGAAACGTGTCTGTCTCAGAGAAGCAGGGGCCAGATCCCAGGGGGCTGCGGCACCCCAAGTGGAGCTCCACGCAGGACGCTGGGACGATCCGTAAGGGCATGTGCTGGCTCCTGAGCTAGGAGAGCTACGGGTTGGAAGCGTACCTTCCTGGCTGTGGACAAGGAAGCCTTGTAGTCCCAATGGGCAGAGAACACAGTGAAGCCCAAGTAGACTAAGGAAGGTAGATCCTACAAAGCCCACGGCAGTGTCAGGATTAGAGCCAGGCCAGCAAGTCACTTGTCTCAGTGCAGAATTTAAGGGGGCACCCAAAAGACTCTGTAATCAGGAGAAATAATATGTTAACACTTCCTTTTTTTTTTTTTTTTTTTTGAGACAGGGTCTCACTCTGTTGCCCAGGCTGGAATGCAGTGGCATGATCTCAGCTCACTGCAACCTCCACTTCCCGGGTTCAAGTGATTCTCCTGCCTCAGCCTCCAGAGTAGCTGGGACTACAGGCGCCCGCCACCACGCCCAGCTAATTCTTGTATTTTCAATAGAGACAGAGTTTCGTCATGTTGCCCAGTCTGGTCTCAAACTCCTGGACTCCAGAGATCCACCAACCTCAGCCTCCCACCACACTTGGCCTCACTTTTTTTTTTCCTGTCTATGACATTTTATTGATCCTATGGAGTGGGAAGGAGAACTGGAGAAGTATGTGGGGCCAAGGGATCCCAGGGGAACAGGGAAGGTATTGAGGCTTGGCCACTAGTACTGGCGAGTCTGTAGTAATGCAATATTTTTTAAAATTAAAATTAATGCCAATAATTTATGATGAGCAAAATACCACCATTTTGAATAAATACAAAATCAGTAGAGTACAGTGCTAAGCCATATTGGAGCCTAAGGGGAAAGGAGAAATCAGTAATCCCCATCTGGTCTTTATTTTAAATGTTTGTGTTTGTTCCTCATGAATATTTTGCATTCATTTTTGTTTTTAAATACTGTGTTGGCCAGGCACGGTGGCTCCCAGCTGTAATCCCAGTACCTTAGTAGGCTGAGGCAGGTGGATCACTCGAGCCCAGGAGTTTGATATCAGCCTGAGCAACACGGGGAAACCCTGTCTCTACAAAAAAATACAAAAATTAGCCGGGTGTGGTGGTGCACACCTGTGTTCCCAGCTACTTGAGAGGCTGAGGTGGGAGGATTGCTTGAGCCCAGGAGGTCGAGCCTGCAGTGAACCATGATTGCACCATTGGACACCAGCTTGAATATATATATATATAATATTTATATATATATATTTATTTTATATACATATATATATAGTGTTAAGGCTGGGCGCAGTAGCTCTCGCCTGTAATCCCAGCACTTTGGGAGGCCAAAGCAGGTGGATCACCTGAGATTGGGAGTTTGAGATCAGCCTGACCACCATGGAGAAACCCTGTCTCTACTAAAAATACAAAAAATTAGCTGGGCGTGGTGGTGGACACCTGTAATCCCAGCTACTTGGGAGGATCAGGCAGAGAATTGCTTGAACCCGGGAGGCGGAAGTTGCAGTATAAATAAATAAATAAATAAATATAAATATGTATAAATATATAGTATATATATATATAGTGTTATATAATAGTATTTGTCAGTTGTCTTATTTCTGAGTTTAGGATTTTTTTTTTTTTTTTTTTTTTGAGACAGAGTTTCACTCATTGCCCAAGCTGGAGTGCAGTGGCACGATGTTGGCTCACCGCAACCTCCGCCTCCTGGGGTCAAGTGATTCTCCTGCCTCAGCCTCCCAAGTAGCTGGGATTAGAGGCATGTGCCACCACGCCCGGCTAATTTTATATTTTTTAGTAAAGACGGAGTTTCTCCATGTTGGTCAGGCTGGTCTCGAACTCCCGACCTCAAGTGATCTGCCCGCCTTGGCCTCCCAAAGTACTGGGATTACAGGCATGAGCCACCGTGCCCGGCCCTAGGATTTTTTTTGACACCCCCTTAAATTGTGCCCATGAGCCAAGCTCTTTATTGGCTTCCCCTCTGGCTAGAAGGCCAGCAGCCCTGGAGAGTGAGCCAGGGTCTGTTTCTAGAAGTCCCAGATCATCCGCATATTCGGCACCATGATCAATCAGAAGCTTCAGGACTTTGAGGAAGAGGTGAAGCCCATTGGGAACGTGGTGACAGAGGCCACCCTGGACATGTACAACACCGTGGTACAGCGCTTCCTGCCCACGCCCACCAAGATGCATTACCTCTTCAACCTTCGAGACATCTCCAAGGTGACTCGCGGCCTGACCTTGCCCCTTCTGCTTGGCCCAGCCTCCGCGGAGGCTTTCTCTTCTCAAACTAAGCCTTAACACTCACTAGCATGCGCACCAAAAGTCACCCCCATGCTGAAGTGCCACACTCCCTGGCCTTACCTTTAAAACTTCTGGGCCAAGTGCGGTGGCTCACACCTGTAATTCCAGCACTTTGGGAGGCCAACGCAGGCAGATCACCTGAGGTTAGGAGTTCAAGACCAGCCTGGCCAACATGGTGAAATCCTGTCTCTATTAAAAATACAAAAAAAAAAAAAAAAATTAGCTGGGCATGGTGGCACGCGCCTGTAGTCCCAGCTACATGGGAGGCTGAGGCAGGAGAATTGCTTGAACCTGGGAGGCAGAGGTTGCAGTGAGCTGAGATTGCACCACTGCAGTCCAGCCTTGGAGACAGAGTGAGACTCTGTCCCAAAAAAAAAAAAAAAAAAAACTTCTGGAGGGAATCTTTTTGCTCCCTGGTCCCAACAGTCAGTCCTCTTCCCAGGTGTTCCAGGGCATGCTTAGAGCCAACAAGGACTTCCATGATACCAAGTCCAGCATCACACGGCTCTGGATCCATGAATGTTTCAGGTGACATGCATGTGCCCTGGCCAAACGAAGGCTTCCTCAGCCTTGCTCCCACCCCTACTTTGTTCCCAGCCTGACACTGCCTTCCCCAGGCCATTCTCCTCTTTATTCCCCGATCTCACCCCAGTTCCCTGCCCACAGAGTCTTCTCTGACCGGCTGGTTGATGCGGCAGACACAGAAGCCTTCATGGGCATCATAAGCGACAAGCTCGGCTCCTTCTTTGACCTCACATTTCATCATCTCTGTCCCAGCAAGCGTCCTCCTATCTTTGGTGAGCCAGGAGCTGTGATGACCTTGGGCTTGACACTCTTAGAACATCGGGGCTAGAAGGAGTCAGGGCATGGGGTCTGAAGTGTGGAGCCCTGTGGGGGGAGGCAAACCAGGCATTTGTGACTCTGATCCCCTCTTCCCATGGCTCAGGGGATTTCCTGAAGGAGCCCAAGGTGTATGAAGACCTCACGGATCTGACAGTGCTGAAGACAGTCATGGAGACAGCTCTAAATGAGTATAACCTGTCACCCTCTGTCGTGCCCATGCAGCTAGTGCTCTTCCGAGAGGCTATTGAACACAGTGAGCACCTGCCACGCCTATCCCCTTCCCCATCATCTCAGTGATGGGGTATGTCTAAGGAAATAGGGGTCCCTTCCCAGGTCTCCCAAATCAAGTTCCAGAAGCTGCCTTTCTCCCTGGCCCCAGATGCCCTGTGGCAGTGTGTGTTTAACAGAGAAGGTGGAGGTTAAAAGTTGAATTGCCTCCTGGGCCTTGGGCACCAACTTCTTCTCATACCTCTTGGTTCCTCTGCTTCAGTTTCAGGGGCCCCAATCCCTAGCCTAGGGCCTGGAGGTCCCCTGAGTTTGCTCAGCCAACTCATTACCCTCACACCCACCCCACCCCCAGTCACACGGATCGTGCGGGTCATTGGACAGCCTCGGGGCAACATGCTCCTGGTGGGTATCGGGGGCAGCGGACGCCAGAGTCTGGCCCGCCTGGCTTCATCCATCTGCGACTACACCACCTTCCAGATCGAGGTCACCAAACATTATCGGAAGCAGGAGTTCCGAGATGGTACGGCTGGGTTTCTGAAATGCTAGGAATAAAAGATCAGATGCATACATTCCTGCAGTGACAAGAGAGGAGAGATGGCAGCCAGATGGGCAGACGTGTCTGGCCCGTGTTGGGTGTAGGATGGTGTCGCGTGTATGCTGCGGGGCGGGGAGGGTTCCTAAATCTCAGAAAAGGAATCAAGCCCAGGATGGGGAATCTGCAGTGAGTTTGTCCTCCTTCCCTCCCCCGGCCAGATATCAAGCGTCTGTATCGCCAGGCTGGGGTGGAGCTCAAGACCACGTCCTTCATTTTTGTGGACACCCAAATAGCTGATGAGTCCTTCCTAGAGGACATCAACAACATCCTCAGCTCAGGCGAGGTGCCCAATCTCTACAAGCCTGATGAATTTGAAGAGGTAGGATTCCTTCCACACCCTTGACCAGTCAGTTCTTTGGCCTGCCTAGCTGACCCCAGAAGGACCACAGCTCCCAGAATGTGCCACTGGCACACCCCCACTGCCACACCCCCACTGCCCACCTCAGCCCTGTAAGGTGGAAGGTCCCCTCCAGGGACCCTGGGCAGAGCTGCTTTAAAACCCACGCTTCAGAGCCAGGCACAGTGGCTTGAGCTTGTAGTTCCAGCTACTCGGGGGTGGGGGGTGCTGAAGTGGGAGGATGGTTTGAGGCCAGGAGTTCAAGTCCAGCCTGGGAAACACTTCGTCAGCCCCACCTGACCCGCTGCCCCCGCTGATTCTGCTATGGACACGCCAGCCCTCTGACCCTGGGTGGCTTCTGTCCAGATCCAGTCGCATATCATAGACCAGGCCCGGGTGGAGCAGGTGCCTGAGTCATCGGACAGCCTCTTCGCCTACCTCATTGAACGCGTGCAGAACAACCTGCACATCGTGCTCTGCCTCAGCCCCATGGGGGATCCCTTCAGGTGACTTCTGTGACATCCTTCTCTCAGCCCCTTCTGTGTGCTCCCTCACCCTGCTGTGGCCTCCTGTGCCTTCTGGAAATTAGTGTCAGGAATAACAGCAGGCTCCTCTGCCCGCCTCACCCATCTCCTTTCCTTAGGCTGTGCCTGATTTCAGGAAGTTCCTTTGGTGGACATGGGAGTCGTCCATCCTTTTTTGGCATAACTAGATTTTTGTTTGTTTGTTTTGGTGGGTGGCTTTTTGGTTTTGTTTTGTCATTGTAAATCTAATTGTGGTTAAAAACACACACACACAGGCCGGGCATAGTGGTTCACACCTGTAATCCCAACACTTTGGGAGGCCTAGGTGGGTGGATCACGAGATCAGGAGATCGAGACCATGCCGGCTAACATGGTGAAACCCCGTCTCTACTAAAAATACAAAAAATTAGCCAGGCATGGTGGCGGGGGCGCCTGTAGTCCCAGCTACTCAGGAGGATGAAGCAGGAGAATCGCTTGAACCCGGGAGGCAGAGGTTGCAGTGAGCCGAGATCACACCACTACACTCCAGCTTGGGTGACAGAGCGAGACTCTGTCTCAAAATACACACACACACACACACCCAAAATGTATCATCTTAATCGTTTCTGAGTGCAGTGCTCAGTCGTGTGAAGTACACTCACACTGTTGTGTAACAGCTCCAGAGCTTTCTCATGCTCCCGAGGCCGTACTCCATACCCATGAAACCATTGCTCCCCATTCCCTCCCCAGCTGCTGTCTCTTGAGTCTGACATCAGATGCCTCACATAGGTGGAACCATGCCGCACTTGTCTTTGTTTCTTTTTTTGTTTGAGACGGAGTCTCGCTGTGTTGCCCAGGCTGGAGTGCAGTGCTGTGATCTCGACTCACTGCAGCCTCTACCTCCCAGGTTCAAGTAATCTTCGTGCCTTAGCCTCCCAGTAGCTAGGATTACAGGTGCTCGCCACCATGTCCAGCTAATTTTTGTACTTTTAGTAGAGACAGGGTTTCACCATGTTGGTCTGGCTGATCTCAAACTCCTGACCTCAAGTGATCCACCCGCCTTGGCATCCCAAAGTGCTGGGATTACAGGCGTGAGCCACCGCGCCCAGCTACCATTTGTCTATCTGCGACTTGCTTATTTCACTTAGCGTATTGTCCTCAAGGTTCATCCATGTTGTAGCATGTGTCAGGATTTCCTTCTTTTTTTAAGGCTGAATAATATTATCTTGTATGTCTATACCACATTTTCTTGATATGACTAGATTTTTAAGGGAATTAGAAACTAGGAAGAGGGCGGAGAACTTGTGCAGGGAAGCAATTTGGATTACCTTAAAAATTTTTTTTTGTCTGGGCGCGGTGGCTCATGCCTGTTATCCCAGCACTTTGGGAGGCCGAGGCAGGTGGATCACAAGGTCAGGAGATCGAGACCATCCTGGCTAACACGGTGAAACCCCGTCTCTACTAAAAATACAAAAAAATTAGATGGGCATGGTGGCGGGCACCTGTAGTCCCAGCTACTCGGGAGGCTGAGGCAGGAGAATGGCGTGAACCTGGGAGGTGGAGCTTGCAGTGAGCCTAGATGGCGCTACTGCACTCCAGCCTGGGCGAGAGTGAAAGACTCCGTCTCAAAAAAAAAAAAAAATTTTTTTTTGAGACCGAGTCTTGCTCTGTTGCCCAGGCTGGAGTGCAGTGGTGCCATGTTGGCTCACTGCAACCTCCATCTCCCAGGCTCAAGTGATCCTCCTGCCTCAGCCTCTCCGGTAGCTGGGACTACAAGCGCATGCCACCACGGCCAGCTAATTTTCGTACTTTTTGTAGAGATGGGGTTTCGCCATGTTGCCTAGGATGGTTTCGAACACGTGGGCTCAAGGAAGCCACCTGCCTTGGCCTCCCAAAGTGCTGGGATTACAGGCACAAACTCCAGTGCCCGGCCTACCATTTTGTTTTTAATGTTTGTGATACACGGTGTACTTACCATAGCCAGGCGCTACGCTGAGCTTTTCACGTGTGACACCTCACTGAATCCCCCAACCATCCTAGTCAGCATGTATTATTATTCCCATTTTAGAGACGAGGAAACTGGCATTCAAAGAGCTTAGATACTTGCTGGAGATCCACACCTCGAAAGTGTAGAACCAGGTTTTTCTGATGCCAGAAGCTGTTTCTAAATGCTCTGCTGAACTAGCTCTGCAGGAACAGAATTTGGACAAGGAGATACAGGAGCAAGGGGATGGGGCATTTTAGGTTCTTAGAAAGTGAGTGGATGCGTGTTGGGAAGCCAGTACCTGGAGGCTGTGTCTGTGCACGGAATTTACAGCCTCTCCAAACCCCTTCCCAGGAACTGGATCCGCCAGTACCCAGCCTTGGTGAACTGCACAACCATCAACTGGTTCTCAGAGTGGCCCCAAGAGGCCCTGCTCGAGGTGGCTGAGAAGTGCCTCATAGGAGTAGACCTGGGAACTCAGGAGAATGTGAGCCCCTCCTCCCCACCTCTCATTGCATCCCTGGCCTCCCTCTCCCCCGCCTCTCATCTCTCATCGCACCCCCGGCCTCTCTCCTTCCCGCCTCTCATCGCACTCCCAGCCTCTCTCCCACTTCCGTTTCCATCTGCCTTTTCATCCTGTGTCACTGGCCTCAGATCCACAGGAAGGTGGCCCAGATCTTTGTCACTATGCACTGGTCAGTAGCTCAGTATTCCCAGAAGATGCTGTTGGAACTGCGGAGACACAACTATGTCACACCCACCAAATACCTGGAACTCCTGTCTGGATATAAGAAGTATGAAGGGGGGCAGGGGATGTGCAGGGCCAGGGAGGCTGGTGTCTTCTGAGGGCGATGGGTGAAATGATGCTGATGTGCAAGGGCAGAGACACAAAGGCCACAGTTCTGCCCAGGAAGTTGGGAAGAGGGAGTTGGGGCTTCCCGTGGGAGGGGCTGTCTCCAGAGCCTTCTGGCTATGTCCCCCTCAGCCGCTCTCCACACCCTCTTGGCCCTTATTTTCTGGCATGAAGTTTCTCTGTCTTTTTCTGACCATAATATAACTGGAACATTGCCATAATATACCCAGTCCTTTCCTGTCTGCCTTTAATGTCTTCTAGACTTTCTACCTGTATGAGATAGAAAAAGCAAAGTGTTTTCCCTACTCTCTCACTCAACACAGTACAGTCCCTCAGCATCCGTGGGGGATTGGTTCCAGGACCTCCCACGGATACCAAAATCCACAGATGCTCCAGTCCCTGATATAGAATGGAGTATCTGCATGTAACTTATGCACGTTCCTCCCATATACTTTGAATCCTCTCTAGATGAGTTATAATACCTAATACAATGTAAATGCTATGTAAATAGTTGTTATACTGTATTGTTTAGGGAATAATGACAAGAAGAAAAAGTCTGTACATGTTCAGTGCAGATGCAAATTTTTTTGCAATTTTTTTTTTTTTAGACGGAGTCTCGCTCTGTTGCCCAGGCTGGAGTGCAGTGGCGCAGTCTTGGCTCACTGCAACCTCTGCCTCCCGGGTTCAAGTGACTCTCCTGCCTCAGCCTACCTAGTAGCTGGGATTACAGGCACGCGCCACCATGCCCAGCTATTTTTTTTTTTTTTTGTATTTTTAGTAGAGACAGGGTTTCACCATGTTGGCCAGGCTGTTCTTGAACTCCTGACCTCAGGTGATCCTCCGGCCTTGGCCTCCCAAAGTGCTGGGATTACAGGCATGAGCCACCGTGCCCAGACTTTTTTCAAATATTTTTGATCCTCTGTTGGTTGAATCCACGGATGTGGATACGGAAGGCTGGCTGTACTTCACTTCTGACACCAGATGTGGTGGGGATTTTCCCCACCCAAGCAGTTCTCCAGGGGACACTGGCTGGGTGTCCTATGATATAACTCAAGTCTGAAATGGTCTACCTGGAGTTAGAGTCAGATCGCACAGGTGGAGGGCTCAGTCCCACAATACACCCGCCGCTTCTGATGCTAACCGAAAGCCCAGTGTTTTACCTGTGTTTCTGCCTGGCCGGTTATAAATCAAGGGTTCCCACCACCCCCTTGTCAGGTTCAGTTAATTTGCTAGAGTGGCTCACAGAACTCAGGAAACACTTCACCTACTATTGCTGATTTATTGCAAAGGATATTTTAAAAGATACAAATAAGGCTGGGCACGGTGACTCACGCCTGTAATCCCAGCACTTTGGGAGGCCAAGGTGGGCCGATCACTTGAGGTCAGGAGTTCAAGAACAGCCTGGCCAACATGGTGAAACCCTGTCTCTACAAAAATACAAAAATTAGCCAGGCATGATGGCGGGTGCCTGTAATGCCAGCTACTGGGGAGGCTGAGGCGGGAGAATCATTTGAACCCGGGAGGTGGAGGTTGCAGTGAGCTGAGATTGCATCATTGCACTCCAGCCTGGGTGACAGATCGAGACTCCGTCTCAAAAAAAAAAATCAGAAATTGTGGGGCAGGTGCAGTGGCTCATGCCTGTAATCCCAGCACGTTGGGAGGCTGAGGTGGGAGGATCACTTGAGGTCAGGAGTTTGAGACCAGCCTGGGCAAAATAACAAGACGCCATCTCTACAAAAAAAGAAAGAGAGAGAGAGAGCAATAAATTGTTGCAATACTGGGCCCACATTCATTCCCATAGGGAAAAAAAACCAGGCTGGAGCTGAGGGACGGCTGCCTGCCCTGGGCCAGCCCACCTGCCTGTTCCACAGTGGGAAACAGAGGAAGATTCTCATGTAGGGGAGGTGGTGTGATGGAGACTGTTTAACAAGCTGATTCTGGTAGTGGTGTGTAGAACAAACCAGAGGAATGAGAGCCTGAAATCAAGAAGAGCCCTTGGGAAGCTGTTGGCAATGACCCAGGCAGGAAGTGATAGAATCCCGACCAGGATGGTGGGGGTAGTGTTGGTGGCAACAGAAAGGAAGGCGGACTCGAGACACACGGGGAAGGTGGACCTTACAGGACACCGCGCTTTCCGGAAGCCCCGCCTCTCCACACCCTGTCCTATTCTTTCCCCCAGGTTGCTGGGAGAAAAACGGCAGGAGCTGCTGGCCCAAGCCAATAAACTGCGGACAGGCTTGTTCAAGATCGACGAAACTAGGGAAAAGGTGCAAGTGATGTCGTTGGAGCTGGAGGATGCCAAGAAGAAGGTGGCTGAGTTCCAGAAGCAGTGTGAGGAGTACCTGGTCATCATTGTGCAGCAGAAGCGGGAGGCAGATGAGCAGCAGAAGGTCCAGGGCCCACGCCCACCCCCCGTGCCCCACTCCCACCAGTGCCGGCTACTGCGTCAGGGAACCCATGTTCCCCCCTTCTTAAATTTTCTTTAGTGACTGGGTGCAGTGGCTCACGCCTGTAATCCCAGCACTTTGGGAGGCTGAGGCAGGAGGATCACCTGAGGTCAGGAGTTCGAGACCAACTTGGCCAACATGGTGAAACCCTGTCTCTACTAAAAATACAAAGATTAGCTGGGCGTGGTGGCGGGTGCCTGTAATCCCAGCTACTCGGGAGGCTGAGGCAGGAGAATCGCTTAAACCCTGGGGGCGGAGGTTGCAGTGAACTGAGATTGCACCACTGCACTCCAGCCTGGGCGAAAGAGCTAGACTCCATCTCAAAAAAAAAAAAAAATTCTTTAGCTTTCTCTTTCATCTTTTCCACCAACACCGTCACTCCCACCTTTGCCCAAGGCAAAGACAAAAAACCCTTGTCCTTTTTTCATCCCTAGGCCGTAACAGCCAACAGTGAAAAGATTGCAGTTGAGGAAATCAAGTGTCAGGCACTGGCTGACAATGCCCAGAAAGATCTAGAAGAGGCACTGCCCGCCCTGGAAGAGGCCATGCGGGTACCAGGGGCGGGTGCAAGGATGGGAGCCAGGAACGCGAGGCCCCGGGGAAGGGAATGGGCCAGTCTTCTTTGTCCTCAAAGACTCTGGGGAAGTGGGAAGAAGAGGTGGCACCTCAGCTAGGTTCTGTCTCCAGAAGGTCCTGTCTTACCCTCACTTTATCCCCTTTTCCCCCAGGCCCTGGAGTCTCTGAACAAGAAGGATATAGGAGAGATCAAGTCTTATGGACGGCCCCCAGCCCAAGTGGAGATAGTGATGCAGGCAGTTATGATTCTTCGAGGCAACGAGCCCACATGGGCAGAGGCCAAGAGGCAGCTAGGTAAGCTAGAGACAATGAAATCAATGACTTCCACTCACCCAGTGTTTATTGATCGTCGGCTGTGCAGCAGACACTCAGAAAGATAGGGATGGATGAGGCATTGTTCTTACCCTCAAGAGCACAGGGCCTAGTAGAAAGGAGACCGCATGAATATCAGTTAAGGTTCTTTGGTTGTGGGTCGAGTGTGGTGGTTCATGCCTGTAAACCCAAGCTTTGGGAGGGCAAGGTGGGCAGATCACTTGAGCCCAGGAGTTTGAGACCAGCCTGGGCAACATGACGAAAACCCATCTCTACAAAAAAAAATGCAAAAATTAGCTGGGCATGATGGTGCATGCCTGTAGTCCCAGCTACTTGGGAGGCTGAGGCAGGAGGATCGTTTAAACCTGGAAGGCTGAGGCTGCAGTGAGCCGAGATTGCGCCATTGCACTCCAGCCTGGGAGACAGAGCCAGACCCTGTCTCCAAAGAAAAAAAAAGATTATTTAGTTGTTACTGGTATTTTCTGACTTTTTACAAAGTTACCTATTTCTTTTCACTAAAAAGAGAAAAAGAAAAAACTACATTTCTGATTGCTTTTATAATTATTAAATATGAAATTTTTAAAAAGATTATTTGGTTGTAAGTAACAGAAAACAGCTCATCTTAATACTGACATTCAGCTTACAATGGTTTGACTTAAGATTTTTCGTCTTTACAATGGTACCCATACAATCATTCTGTTTTTCACTTTCAGTACAGTGTTCAATACATTACATGAGATATTCAACACTTTGTTATAAAATAGACTTTGTGTTAGATGATTTTGCCCAACTGTAGGCTTAATGTAAGTGCTCTGAGCACGTCTAAGTTAGGCTGGGATGAATTATGACATTCAGTAGGTTAGATGCATTAAATGCATTTTTGATTTACCATATTTTCAATGTATGATGGGCTTATCGGGAGCATCTGTATATTAACCAAAATTGTCCTAAAGATAGAAGAATGGGCCAGGCACGGTGGCTCACGCCTGTAATCCCAGCACTTTGGGAGGCTGAGGCAGGTGGATCACGAGGTCAGGAGATCGAGACCATCCTGGCTAACACGGTGAAACCCTGTCTCTACTACAAAATACAAAAAAATTAGCCGGGTGTGGTGGCAGGCACCTGTAGTCCCAGCTACTCGGGAGGCTGAGGCAGGAGAATGGTGTGAATCTGGGAGGCGGAGCTTGCAGTGAGCCGAGATTGCACCTCTGCACTCCAGCCTGGGCAACAGAGCGACACTCCATCTCAAAAAAAAAAAAAAAAAAAAAAAAGATAGAAGAATGTATTGCTGCATCCAAGGGCAGGAATGCCCTCAGGCCCCCAGAGGGGAACAAGAATCAGAAAATGGGAACCGGGACTCTGTGTTCCATTCTTGTGGTTTACTCTGCTCTGGGTTCCCATAGTAGAATACAGCCTGCCAGTCTCGGTTTGGTGATCCCTGCCCTAGAAGAAAGTGCAAAGCAGAGAGAAAAAAAGTGAAGTGTAGGGTGGCTTGGCTGAGTGTTCAAGGTAAGTGATGAGAGAGGAGCTGGGAAGATTGTCGAGGACCTTGGGGACTGAGAGGTGCCCAGAGACAGAGTCAAGTCAGAGGGAGGAACTAGGGGCCAGGTCAGATAATTTGGCCTTAGGAACTGAGCCCAGGAAAAATGTGGCTATGCGTGAGTAGTGGAGGTGAAACTGCTGGACAAGGAGGATGGCATTAAGCCTCTGGCTAAGGCCCCTAATTTTCATCCCACAGGGGAACAGAACTTCATCAAGTCACTGATCAACTTTGATAAAGACAATATCTCAGATAAGGTTCTGAAGAAGATTGGGGCCTACTGCGCCCAGCCTGACTTCCAGCCTGATATCATCGGCCGCGTCTCCCTGGCTGCCAAGTCCCTCTGCATGTGGGTGCGGGCCATGGAGGTAAAGGCGTCAGGGCTGGGGCGGGGCGGTAGGGAGGGCAGGCCTGGGGGAGTGCGGATGCACAGACCCAGGTGGAAGGAGGGGATGCCTGGAGGTGAGGGGGTTGGTGGGTTGGTGGGCGACTCCCACAGCCTGACTGTCTCCCCACAGCTGTATGGGCGGCTATATCGGGTGGTGGAGCCCAAGCGAATCCGAATGAACGCTGCCTTGGCTCAGCTTCGGGAGAAGCAAGCCGCGCTCGCTGAGGCCCAGGAGAAGCTGCGGGAGGTGAGCTGATCGCCTGTCCTTTCCACGGAGGTCCCTCTCCCTGAGTTCTGGATTGCTTCATTAAGCATTTGTTTTCCCCCATCTAATTCTAGCCCCCTTCCCCATGTCCTGTGCCATTCCAGTCCTGTCTCCTTCCCACTCTGTGCCCTGTTTAGACTGGGCTGCCTCTGGCTCAGAAAGCTAAGTCAATTGCAGAGGGTTATAAAGGCTCAAAGGCACTGCGACCCAGGAGCCCTTCCAAAGATTGACTTGGGAGCTGGCAATCTCTGTCACACCCTTCGGAGATGGCGCCTGAGATATTAACTGATGACATCTGCGTGGCAAATTGGTCTTTGCCAGAGGGATGGGTCAAGAGTGTCTGTGTCGCTTCTGTGGACCAAGAACAACGTGAGGGTGTCTGTGCATATGTTGTGTGGGGACGGGCTCTCCCAGAGGCCAAGTGGGTTAGTTACCGTGAGGAGTCTGGGCAACCCAGGCGATCTCCTGCAAGATGCATGCATGAGGCTGGGCGCCACGGCTCATGCCTGTAATCCCAGCACTTTGGGAGGCCGAGGTAGGTGGACCACCTGAGGTCATGAGTTCAAGACTAGCCTGGCCAACATGGTGAAACCCTATCTCTACTAAAAATACAAAAATTAGCCGGGCATGGTGGCAGGCACCTGTAATCCCAGCTACTCAGGAGGCTGAGGCATGAGAATCGCTTGAACCCAGGAGGTGGAGGTTGCAGTGAGCCAAGTTCACACCACTGCAATGCAGCCTGGCGACAGAGTGAGACTGTCTCAGAAAAAAAAAAAAAAAAGATGCATGCATAAGTGACTCCTGAACCAGGCAGAATGATGGGCAAGTGCCATTATCAAAAAAATTCAAAATTCTTCCAGTTTATCATTTGATTTTTTAAATGATTGATTTAATAGGTGATACTACTCTGTCCCCAAGGTAATACAGTTACATGGTTTGAAGTGTGAAAGGTACAAAGGAGTATCCAATAAGAAGTTTCCCCTCGCCCACCTTCTGTTCTCTAGTCACCAGCTTTCCTCTCTGAAAGCAGCCGATATTACTGTCACCCAGGCTGGAGTGCAGTGGCGCAATCTCAGCTCACTGCAACCTCCACCTCCTGGGTTCAAGAGATTCTCCTGCCTCAGCCTCCTGAGTAGCTGGGACTACAGGTGCCCGCCACCACGCCCGGCTGATTTTTGTATTTTTAGTAGAGACGGGGTTTTGCCATGTTGGCCAGGCTGGTCTCAAACTCCTGACCTCAGGTGATCTGCCAGCCTCAGCCTCTCAAAGTGCTGGGATTACAGGCATGAGCCACTGCCCCCAGCCTGCACCTTACTATCTTATTTACCTGTGAGTTGAAGATTGTTCCTTATCAGTATGTAAAGAGCCTCTGCTTTCTTTTTACCACTGCATGATATTCCAGTGGGTAGCTACAGGGACACCATCATTTATTTAACTGTTCCCCATTTGAGGGAGACACTGTTTCCAATCTTTGGATCTTTGCTTGCCCTGTAACTTTGTTGGTGCTATCTTCATATAGAAATTTAAAATATTTATATAATTGAAGCTGGCCATACAATTTCAAACTGTTTTACCTAAAACCAACTTTGGAAAACATCCAGGTTCGACCTCCACAGATCAGATGAGGAGCCTGAGGCTAGGGAGATCAAGGGCTCACTGGCTCGTCACCGTCAGAGCTGGGCTAGATCCTGTGTTTCCTGACTTCACGCCTCTCTGCCCACAGCTCATCCCCGTTTTTTTCCTGCTGTAGGCATCTTTACTGTCAAAAGCTAAGCTGCCCACGAGGCCTCTTCTGTGCAGGGAACTCACCCAGGTTGGGTGAACGGGGCTTCTCTCTGCACCTCTGCACCTGCTCCTCCACGGCTCCGTCCCTGCTACCACCGCCACCTCCCAACCTCTCACAAAACTTTGCTCTTTTACTCTGTCTTTTCCCAAGAGCGAAGAATCACAGGTGTGGCAATCTGTTTGGAAAGGGTTTTCACCTAGATGAATCATATCCTGGGCTAAATAATTAGGAGTGGTTCCTCATATGTGAAAAATGGGACCTCTGGGGTGCACTGCCAACAACATCATTCATCAAACAAGCATTTATAGTGCACCCAGTGTTAGGTATTTTGGTGGAGGGTCCACACCCACACTTGAGAACCCCTAAGTGAAAAGAGAAAGCAGACAGGGAACAAACATTTCTCCTTTTTTACGGACAAAGCCTGTGACGTTTATGAGCCAAATGCACCTTAAAAAAAAAAAAAAAGCAGCAGCAGCATTTATGTGTTTATTTTTAGAGATGGGGTCTTGCTGTGTTGCCCAGGCTGGTCTTGGTCTTGAATTCCCATCTCAGTCTTACAAGTTGTTGGGATTACAGGTGTGAGCCACCGTGCCCCGAAATGTACCTTCCTTTCCTTCCTTCCCTCCCTCCCTTCCTTCCTTCCTTCCTTTTCTTCTTTCTTTTCTTTCTTTTTTTTCTTTTTTTTTTTTTTGAGACAGGATCTCACTCTGTCGCCCAGACTGGAATGCAGTGGCGCAATCACGACTCACTGCAGCCTTGACTTCCTGGGCTCTGGTGATCCTCCCACCCAAGCCTCCTGAGTAGCTGGGCCTACAGGCACACTCCACTATTCCTGGCTAATTTTTTATATTTTTTGTAGAGACGGGGTTTCACCATGTTGCCCAGTCTGGTCTTGAACTCGTGGGCTCAAGTGATCCTCCTGCCTTGGCCTCCCAAGTTGCTAGGATTACAAGGGTGAGCCACCCCACCTGGCCCAAATATACCCTTTTTGTTTTGTTTTGTTTCGTTTTGTTTTTGAGAGAGAGTCTCGCTCTATCACCCAGGCTGGAGCACGGTGGTGCGATCCCAGCTCGCTGTAACTTCTGCCTCCCAGATTCAAGTGATTCTCCTGCCTCAGCCTCCCGAGTAGCTGGGATTACAGGCGTCTGCCACCACGCCCGGCTAATTTTTGTATTTTTAGTAGAGATGGGGTTTCACCACGTTGGCCAGGCTGGTCTTGAACTTCTTACCTCAAGTGATCTGCCCGTCTCGGCCTCCCAAAGTGCTGGGATTACAGGTGTGAGCCACCGCGCCTGCCCCCAAATGTACCTTTTAATACAACTTCACAACTAGGCACTGTGCCCTGGGCCCTGCCAGGCCAATTAAGTAAGAATCCCTGGCAGAGCCTAAGAATCAGCATTTTAAAAGCTTTCCTGTCAGAACCTACCAGAGATGGGAAAGCTTATGCATGGTACTGAGGCTCAGGTCTGAAAAGAGGCTCAGAGCCCAACTACATTGCAGATCAGAACAAATTTTGAGTAAATAGCTTTAGCCATTACTCACTTGTCAGCTAGTTCTGATATACAACAAGGGTTACAAACCAGTGGCGTAGATAGGGCCCCAGAAGGCTCTGAAATGGGTCAGAACAGAATCTTAATATACTTTAAGGCGACTGTATCCCCAAGTCTGAACATTCCCATTTTTTCCCATTTTGCATTCCAAATTATGTCTTAATCTACTTTAGGGCAACTATATCCCTAAGGTTGAACATTCAGATTTTTTTCCCATTTTGCATTCCAAATTATGTCTAGTCACATTGTCCAACATAACATATCAGAGGCCATTTAGTTCAATTAAATGACAGCATTAAAACGCTCCAATAATAACAATATACAGAAATTCCACAAATTTGAATATAACCCCTAGGGAGAAATTAAATTTCAAAGATTAAATAAATCCCTTTGCAAACTAAAGTCCAAAGAAATGGAAATTCGACATCAACTAATCTTGCCTTTGTGAGTTAAAAATCTAGACTTCAACCTTCTGAAGTTAAAGTCCCCAAGTCATCCTCCCCAACTTCCTGTTCTGCTCCATCTCAGCTGAGGGGTTATCTCAGTTCATTTGGGCTCCTATAACAAAATACTGGGTAATTTATAAATAACAGAAATTGATATCTTACAGTTCCGAAGGCTGGAAAGTCTAAAATCAAGGTGCAAGTACATTCAATGTCTGGTAGGGTCAGTTCCTCATGGATGACGCTTATGTGTGTCTTCACATAACAGAAGGGACAAACAAGCTTTCTTGGGCTTCTTTTACTAGGGCACTAATCCCATTCCTGAGGGCCCTACCCCCGTGACCTAATCACCTCCCAGATGCCCCACCTCCCAACACCACTCCACTGGAGATTAAGTTTGAAAATGAATTTGAGTGAGACATGACATTTGGACCGTAGCAGGGTGGGGGTTCTCTGGGTAGATCAGTTTTCTTAACCTGGGCTGTTTCTCCCTGGAAAAGGATGTTGTTCCTCAGGACCTCAGAGGCTGTATTAAGTTCAGAATGAAGTCTCTCGTGAGCATTATTTGAGATTAAAATAGAACTCAAGGGTCTTAATAAGGCATACACAACTTGCAGATAAAATTACGTTGCCAAAAAACTGGTTATTACCATTGCCAAAGACCGTAGAAGAAACCCAATAGCATTTGAGGTAATGAGGATACACAGAGAAAATCTTGGTTTTAGCTTTACCAAAATGTCAGTTATCTGGAACCATGACTTGTGCACTTAAATTTAACTAGGAGAAATCTTTAGCAATAGATTAATATAAGAGATACAATCTAACCAATAAGCATTTACTGGATCGGGGGTTATAAATCCACACATATGTATACATTCTTTTCTTAGGGGGTTGATCGTGGTAAAATACATATAAAATATATCATTATAACCATTTTGAAGTGCACCATTCAGGCTGGGCTTGGTGGCTCATGCCTGTGATCCTAGCTCTTTGGGAGGCAGGGGCCGGGGGATTGCTTGAGCCTAGAAGTTGGAGATCAGCCTGGGCAACATAGAGAGACTTTGTGTCCACAAAATATAAAAAAATCAGCCAGACACAGTGGCGCACACCTGTAGTTCCAGCTACTTGGAAGGCTGAGGTGGGAGGATCACTTGAGCCCAGAAGGTTGAGGGTGCAGTGAGCTATGATTATGCCACTGTCCTCCAGCCTGGGCAACAGAGCAAAATCCTGCCTCAAAAAATAAAGATAAAAATAAAGCCAGGTGCGGTGGCTCACGCCTGGAATCCCAGCACTCTGGGAGGCCGAGGTGTGCGGATCACCCAAGGTCAGGAGTTTGAGACCAGCCTGGCCAACATGGTGAAACCCTGTCTCTACTAAAAATACCAAAAAAAAAAAAAAAAAAAAAAAAAAAAAGCTGGGCGTGGTGGTGGGCACCTGTAATCCTAGCTACTAGGGAGGCTGAGGCAGGAGAATCACTTGAACCCGGGAGGCGGGGTTTGCAGTGAGCTGAGAAGCTGAGACTGAATGATTGCACTCCAGCCTGAGTGACAAGAGTGAGACTCTGTGTCAAAAAAAAAAAAAGCCTAAAATGGATACACCAGGCAACAGCAGTAAGACTACTTGTATATGTATAGAATACCTCTGGAAGGAGAGTCAAGGAACAGGTAACACTGGCTGCCTCTAAAGAAGGAACCTGGCTGAGTGGGGAACAGGGTTAGGAGGAAGATCTTTCATATCCTCATGCCCTTAGGCCTTTTGAATTTTTGATAGCTATTAAAAAATTCACAAAGTAAAATTTAAAGGAACGAGAAATAGCAGTGTGAAGACGTGCTTATGCCTGTATACGAATTTCTCTTTTTTTCTTTTGTAGGTTTTTTTTTTTGGTGGGGGGCATAGAGACAGGGTCTTGCTGTGCTGCTACGGTCTCAAACTTCTGGCCTCAAGCAATCCTCCCGCCTCTGCCTCCCAGAGTGCTGGGATTACAGGTGTGAGCCACCATGCCTGGCCTTGTACAAGGATATTTATTACAGCGTTGTTAATAGCAGAATGTTGGAAAAACACAAATGTGTATCCGTAGGAGACTTGTTACATAAATCATAGTTCAGTCTCACATAAGAGTATTTTGCAGCTACTAAAAAGAATGAGGCAGCTCACAAGAACTGATTTGGAAACAAGTAAAAAAAATAGTGAAGTACAAACAGTATTATAGCATATAACCACTGATTAAAAATTCATTTATTCTGGCCAGGCCCAGTGGCTCATGCCTGTAATTCCAGCACTTTGGGAGGTTGACGCGGGTGGATGACTGGAGGTCAGGAGTTCGAGACCAGCCTGGCCAACATGTTGAAACACTGTCTCTACTAGAAATACAAAAATTAGCCAGGCATGGTGGTGCACACCTGTAATCCCAGCTACTCGGAAGGCTGAGGCAGGAGAATCGCTTGAACCCAGGAGGTGGAGGTTGCAGTGAGCCAAGATGGCGCCACTGCACTCCAGCCTGGGCGACAGTGTGAGACTCTGTCTCAAAAAAAAAAAAAAAAATTATTTATTCAAAAAAATATGTGAGTGCTGGGCATTATTTTAGGTCTAAGGATTCAGTGGTGAACAAGTCTCTGACTTCACTGTGCTTATATTTTCTTTATATATAAATGATTCTGTGCATGGACTATTCTAGAAAGCTACACGGGAAACTAGGGCAGGGCCTGGGACCAGGCTCAGGAATGGCAGGAAGACTTCCCCTTAACCGGGTGCACTTTCGTTCCTTTTGGATTTTGATTTATGTAAATATATTCACTATTCTCCAAAAAAAAAAAAAAAAAAACAGATAGTAAAAATTATTTTCTAAGATATGACAAAGATTTTATTAGGTGTAATAATAGTGTTGTGGTTATGCAGAAAAATGTCATTATTATTACTTTTAAAGATATGTTATAAAGTATTTAGGCTTGAGGATTTCATGAGTTTTTAATTTACTTAAAGATATTTTGGCAAAAAACAAGTAGATGAAATATATATAGCAAAATGTTAACTGTGAAATCTAGCTGATGGGTGTTTCTAGGTTTAAGTTTTCATAATAATTTTTAAAAATTTAAAGCTCCAACGAGATTAGCATACTTTAAAAATAGAGGCATACGCATAATTTTTCAGAGATACAGAAGTAACAACCAGCATAAATAAAAAGAAAAGTGGTTAAAAAGTAGTTTGCCATGGTTGGGCGTGGTGGCTCACGCCTGTAATCCCAGCGCTTTGGGAGGCTGAGGCTGGAGGATCACCTGAGGTCAGGAGTTTGAGATCAGCCTCTACTAAAAACACAAAAATTGGCCGGGTGTGGTGGTGCATGCCTGTAATTCCAGCTACTCGGGAGGCTGAGGCAGGAGAATCGCTTGAACCCAGGAGGCAGAGGTTGCGGTGAGGTGAGATGTGCCATTGCACTCCAGCCTGGGAGACAAGAGCGAGACTCCGTCTCAAAACAAACAAACAAACAAAGTAGTTTGCCTCAGAGGAAGAAGTCTGGCTGTGGGAAAGGTGGTCTAGATGCTACTTTTCCTGTAACCTCTTTTATATCATTTAGGTTTTAACCTCGTGCATGTATGTCTTTCTTTCTTTTTGAGACAAAAAAAAAGAAAAAGAAAAAAGATTGGCCATGCTGGTCTGGAACTCCTGACCTGGTGATCTGCCTGCCTTGGCTTCCCAAAGTGCTGGGATTACAGGGTGAGCCACCGCACCTGGCCCTCCATGTTGTTTTAAAGAATATCTTCTGGAGAGTGATCTCTCCCATTTCCAAGTGCTTGGGTCAGGTAGTGCTTGCTTGCTGTGTGCCTTGCACCGTGCCATAGCCCACATCACCCTTACCTGCAGCCACCTTGGCGAGGCTCCGAAAGGATGAAACTTACCAGAATTACTCAGTTAAGGCAGAGCTACTTCTACTTTCTAGTAGTGGAACTATTTCCACGATGTGGGCTGCCTTTCCCAGTGAGGTGGCAGCGGGAAAGGGAACATGTATCGTGTAAATGCTATGTGTAATCCCCCACCCCATATTCCTCATGATGAAAAGGACGGTGATACAGTCTGTAACCAGGCACAACTGCTGTTGGGTGGTCAGATATACATACAGGATCACACACACATATACAGGATCACACACACATATACAGGATCACACACATATACAGGATCATACACACATATACAGGATCACACACACATATACAGGATCACATACACATACAGGATCACACACACATATACGGGATCACACACACGTATACGGGATCACACACATATACGGGATCACACACACATATATGGGATCACACACATGTATACGGGATCACACACACGTATACGGGATCACACACACATATACAGGATCACACACACATATACAGGATCTTGGGACAAGGCTCTATCAGTTCTCTCCTTCAGATTTCAGTGAATATATATATATTCATTCCAACCTCCACAGAGTCCACAGGTGGCAATGACTTGAGAGGGGTTTCTCTAGTATACACAGCTCTGCCCAGGCCTCCATCTCTAGTGTGGGACCTTGCACTTGGTCCTTTGTCTTTTTATTTTTATTCTTATTTTCTACTTTTTGAATAGAGGCGGGGTCTCACCATGTCGCCAGGCTGGTCTCAAGCTCCTGGCCTCAAGTGATCCTTCTGCCTTGGCTTGCCAAAGTATTGGGATTACAGGCATGAGCCACCACGCCCAGCCAGCTCTTTGTCTCGAATGGACTCTCCCTCTAACAGCTCTTGGGTTCATTTCTTTCTTTTTCTTCCTCTTTCAAGGTTCCACCTTAGGTATGGCCTCTGGCATGGAGTGGCAGTCATTTATGTGCTGTCTGGCCTTCACTTGCCACCATCTTGTGTGGCTTATTATGCTTCAAGAGGTCTCCGTCCCCTACCCAGCTACCCTGAAACTACCAAGTAGTTTCTGGGCTCTAGGAAAGGGTGGTGGAAGGAAGGGGAAGAAAATTCACCTCATCTCACGTATTTTATCTCATTTACTCTTCACGATAACCCTATAGGGTAGGTATTCTTTTACAACATGAGGAAACTAGGCTCAAAGAGATTAATTTAACAAAGCTACAAAATGGCAGCTACAAAATGGCAGAGTCATGATGTGAACAAGAACAATCTGGCTGCGAGCCCTGTGTTTGATGCGCTATACTCGAATCTCTCCCAGGTAGCTGAGAAACTGGAGATGCTAAAGAAACAGTATGATGAGAAGCTGGCACAGAAGGAGGAGCTTCGCAAGAAGTCTGAAGAGATGGAGCTGAAGCTGGAGCGAGCTGGGATGCTCGTGTCGGGGTTGGCTGGCGAGAAGGCCAGATGGGAGGAGACAGTCCAGGTGAGATCAGCTGTACTACCTGGTGTCCTTTCACTCTGCTCGCCACTTCCGAGAGACCCATCCCTTTTAGCTTGAGGAGCAGTCAGGGAAAACGGGGACACCTGGGTATAGGGAACTCTAAGAACTGAGGCGTGGGAGCTCTTCCCCTCCCCCTGCACACCTTTGGTGAGAGCAATGGAAGGAAAGGCTTTTTGCATTATTAGGGATCTGCTTCAGTGTTTGGGCAGGGCTGGGAAGCACACACAAGGACTCTTGATGTAGCCCAACAACCAGACAGAAAACAGACACAGCACATCTTGCTTCTGCCCCTCAGTGAGCTCCTGGCTTCACAGAAAGGTTAGGCCTTATCACCAGAATGTAAACATTGCCATTAGAGATAGAGAACTCAAAAGTAATTAGAACCAGGCTAGAGTTGTCAGGACACACAGGTTTAGGGGAGGGAAAGATCCTCTTTGAACCTGACAGTGTCCAGAAGAGGGTGCCTTCAAAAGCATTCCAAGTGTCTCCCAGAGTGCTGGGGCCCAGGCAGGCTTACCCTCCCTCCTGTCCGCCAGGGCCTGGAGGAGGACCTGGGCTACCTGGTGGGGGACTGTCTCCTGGCAGCTGCCTTCCTGTCCTACATGGGACCCTTCCTGACCAACTACCGGGATGAGATTGTCAACCAAATCTGGATCGGGAAGGTGAGATGGGACTCAGGCATGACAAGTAGGCTCCGAGACCAGGGCTGGGGGCAGGACCTTTGGGAATATTAAGAGATACCGTGAAGGCGCGGGGGCTGCTGGGCTCAGCTCTTCAAGTTAAAGCATGGGGCTTTTCTCTCCCCAGATCTGGGAGCTTCAGGTTCCTTGCTCCCCTTCTTTCGCCATCGATAACTTCCTGTGCAATCCTACCAAAGTCCGGGACTGGAACATCCAAGGGTTGCCCTCAGACGCCTTCTCCACTGAGAATGGCATCATCGTCACCCGAGGCAACAGGTGAGGGTGCTGCTGGGCGTGGGGGCGGTACGGGAGCATGGGAGAGAGGGCCTCACCTCTGACCTGTACTCCCCTTCCAGGTGGGCACTGATGATCGACCCTCAGGCCCAGGCCCTGAAATGGATTAAGAACATGGAAGGAGGCCAGGTGTGAGGCTGGGGGGTCAGGTTAGCCCCCCCCTTCCTGAGGCCCCACCTCTCCCGTAGTGTTCCTTCACCTTCCCCCTTGCTCTCTAGGGCCTGAAGATCATCGACCTGCAGATGAGCGATTACCTGCGAATCCTAGAACACGCCATTCACTTTGGATACCCGGTGCTACTTCAGAACGTGCAGGAATATCTGGACCCCACACTGAACCCCATGCTCAACAAATCTGTAGCCCGAATCGGTCAGGACAAGTCCCCAAGACCAGCCAAGTGGGATGCTAGGGAGGGAAGGGCTGGCTCTCTGACTGTGTCCTCTTCTTACCTGTCCCTCCATTCAGACAGCCCTGGCCTGGGGCCTTAGGACAGGCTGAGTCGCTGCCCCTGGATGCCGGTGGGGGATGGGTTAGCTGGTACCCATCACATGGAGTCCTTGCCCCTGACCCTTCCGTGGATGCAGGTGGTCGGCTGTTGATGCGCATTGGCGATAAGGAGGTGGAATATAATACCAATTTCCGTTTCTACATCACCACCAAGCTCTCCAACCCCCACTACAGCCCAGAGACCTCAGCCAAGACCACCATCGTCAACTTTGCTGTTAAAGAACAGGTGGGTACAGGCTGAGGTCCAGACTGAGCTAGGGTGAAGCAGGAAGAGTTTGGAAGGATTGAGAAAAGGGATAAGCTTGTGTTGGGCAGCTGAGGATGAGGGGTCTTTCAAGGTGGAAAGAGATGAGGAAGGTGAAGGTCGAAGGAGTGACAGCCCCTCACTGTGAGTCCTGATGCCCCCAGGGCCTGGAGGCCCAGCTGCTGGGCATTGTGGTGCGGAAGGAGCGGCCTGAGCTGGAGGAGCAGAAGGACTCACTGGTCATCAACATCGCGGCTGGTAAAAGGAAGCTCAAGGAGCTGGAGGATGAGATCCTGCGGTGAGGCCCTGCCTTCCCCTCCCACTGCCCCACGGGTCTACTCCCAGCCAGCCTCCACCCAGTCTACCCCAGGCACAACAGCATCCCAGGGAGCCTGGTCCCGCTAACCCCTTGCTCCATGTGCCTCTGGGCCTCCCCCTAGGCTGCTGAATGAGGCCACCGGCTCCCTGCTGGATGATGTGCAGCTGGTGAACACGCTGCATACCTCCAAGATCACAGCCACAGAGGTGACTGAGCAGCTGGAGACCAGTGAGACCACAGAGATCAACACTGACTTGGCGCGGGAGGTAAGCTCCCGGCCCTCCAGTCCTGCCTCCCACCAGCCATCCAAGATGCAACTCCATCATGACGGCTCGAGACCCCTCCTTCCCTGAGCCCCTGCTCCCTGCCACGTCCCTCAGTGGCCCTGACTCCACCCATCCCCACCGGCAGGCTTACCGCCCATGCGCCCAGCGGGCATCAATCCTGTTCTTCGTGCTCAATGATATGGGCTGCATCGACCCCATGTACCAGTTCTCACTGGATGCCTACATCAGCCTCTTTATTCTCAGCATTGACAAAAGCCACCGCAGCAATAAGCTGGAGGACCGCATTGACTACCTGAATGACTACCACACCTACGCTGTCTACAGGTCTGAGGGTGCCCCCAACATGCCCCAGCCCGGAGGCCGAGTGGCTGTGGTTCTTCTGGCCACTGCACCTTCGTGCTTTCCCGCACCGCGGCTCTCAGCCTGCCGCTGTCCTTGGCATATGTCCTCCTGGTAGCTCCTCACTCTCATGGCTTAACCATCACCTGTGGGCTGATGATTCCCTGTCTTGTGTCTGTAGCCCTCCCTTGAGCACTGGACTTGTCTACACAACTGTTGGAGATACCAGCACTGCCCAGATGTTAACGGGCAGGAAGTGCACTGGCAATCTTGTGAAAGTACCGGTTGGGATTCTGCAGGTCTGGGGTGGGGCCTGGGTTCTGCAACTCCAACAAGCTCCCAGGGGTGCCACTGCTCCTGGTCTGTGGATCACATTTGAGCAGCAAGGAACTGGACTTCTCTACCCTGACATCCCACAGACCCTTCAAGCTCAACTCACTTCAGATCAAACTCATTCTCTTCCCTCTTCCTTCAGGGTCCTCATCCTTGGATGGCACCAACACCCACAACCCAGTCACCCAAGCCAGAAATTGGGAGTTATCCTTTATTTTTTATAATTTTTATTTGTACAGAAAGGGTCTCCCTATGTTGCCCTGGCTCGTCTCAAACTCCTGAGCTCAAGGGATCCTCCTGCCATGGTCTCCCACAGTGTTGGGATTACAGGCATGAGCCACCACGCCTGGCAAAAACTGGGAGTTATCCTTGACTCTTCCCTTTCAAAGCAGTCACCAGGTTTTGTTCATGAATATTTCTGCAACTGTTCCCTCCCCATCTTCCCACTGCTTGGCTGTACTTTAGTTCTGGCCCTGGTGATCCTTTTTTCTGAGTTGCACAATGGTCTCCTAGAGGTCCTTCTGCCTCTACCCACTGTCCCTCTCAACCCACCCTCCTGTATTGCCCACCTGAACAAATCTGCCCATGCCGCTTCCCGGGTCTGACTGCCAGTGGTTGGTTGCTTGGCCCCTGTGGCCCACGAAAGCCCTCAGGACCTGGCCTTCTCCTGCCTCAGCCTCACCTTTCCCACCTTGCACTGGGGGCCTGAGCGTCCCTGACTGCCCTGCATGCTGTGCCCTTCTCATGCTTTTGCTCATGCTGTGATCTCTCTGCCTCTCCCATGTCACCTGAAAACTCTACTGCAGCTTGGGGCAGCTCCTCGGAAACTTTCCAAGTCCAGCAGGCAGGGACATCATAACTGATGGCCTCTCTGTCCTCTCCGAGACTGTGGCTTATTCATCTTTGTGTCTTCAGGACCTAGCAGAGTGCCTGGCAAGACAGTAGGGGAATAATGAATGTTTTGTTTTTTAATGGAACTGAATGACTAATTATGAGTGAATGGCTGGGCACGTTGGCTCACACCTGTAATCCCAGCACTTTGGAAAGCTGAGACGGGTGGATCACCTGAAGTCAGGAGTTCAAGACCAGACTGCCAACATGGTGAAACCCCATCTCTACTAAAAATACAAAAATTAGCCAGGCGTGGTGATGGGCTCCTGTAATCCCAGCTGCTTGGGAGCCTGACGCAGGAGAATCGCTTGAACCTGGGAGGTGGAGGTTGCAGTGTGTCGAGATCGTACCATGGTACTCCAGCCTAGGTGACAAGAGCGAAACTCTGTCTCAAAAAGTAATAATAATAATAAGTGGACTCTGGGAAATTCTTGTGTCTAGGCCCCTGAGTCCTCAGCTGTTTCCAGGAGGTTAGGATTAGAGGCTGGTGAGGTCCTCTGTGTGAAGCTGTGTGATAGTAGCATCATAGCATTCGCATGGAGCATCAGCCCCCATTCCATGCTGCCCCTCCCTCTTCCCTGTCCCTTTCTCCCAGGTACACCTGCCGTACCCTTTTCGAACGCCACAAACTACTATTCAGTTTTCATATGTGTGCCAAAATCTTGGAGACTTCTGGCAAGCTCAACATGGATGAATACAACTTCTTTCTACGTGGGGGTGTGGTGAGTTGGGCAGAGAGCACATCCCAGGATGGGATGGTCAAGGTTGGGGATGAGGGCAAGTGTGACAAGGACTCCAGACCCAGAGGGTCAGGCCCACAGCATCAGTGAGTGAGCTGAGAAAATCCAGGCCAGCATCAGGTGCATGGTGAGCTCCCTGGGGCTGCGGAGGTGACTTGCCATGCACCCCCTTGCACTCAGCGCAGGCTGGGCTTTGTGGCATGTCTCACCTGTGACCCACAAACTGGCCTGATCTTGCCGCTTTTTTACTGCCTTTCAAGGCACTCCTTCCCCAGCCTGAGTTCCATGGTCGCCCTCACAATCTCTCCCTCACAGGCTCCTCAACCCCAGCTTTTCTCCTCTCTCTGTCGCATCTACCGCTCTGGCTAGATCCAGCTCCTCTTCCCCTCTGTCCCTGCGCGGCCAGTGCACTGAGCATGGCCGGAGAAGAACACATCCACACCGACTGGACGCGCTTTAAGTCCATGATCGTGAACCTCAAGGAGGCCCCTAAGGCTTCCAGACAACCATGCTGCACTCTCCCGCCCTCCTAGACATTTTCTTGACTTTTCCCACCTTCACTTCCTGCCTCCCACCCCAAACTCTCAACACAGCAACCAGAGAGGTCCCACTCTGTCACTCACTGTGGCTGGACCGCAGTGGCAGTGATCTTGGCTTACTGCAGCCTCGACCTCCCAGGCTCAAGCCATCCTCGCATCTTAGCCTCTGGAGTAGCTGGGACTACAGGCCTGCGCCACCACGCCCGGCTAATTTTTGTATTTTTTGTAGAGGCGGGGTCCCACCATGTTGCCCAGGCTGGTCTCGAACTCCTGGGCTCAAGTGATCCTCCCACCTCAGCCTCCCAAAGTGCTGGGATTATAGGTGTGAGCCACTGTGCCCGGCCTGAGAGGTCCTTTTAAAGTGGATGCCATTGTGACGGGCTCCCCATGGCTGGCGCCACCTCCCACCACACAGCCCCCACTCCACTCCAGCCACGCAGGCCTCATTGCCCTCCCCAAACCCCCTGGCACGTCTCGCCTCAGGGCCTTTGCGTGGCCATGCCTTCTGCTGGAAGCCTACTCCCCGGCGTGTGCACCTGGCCATCTCTCACCTCCTTCAGACCTCACCTCAATGCGACCTTGATCTTCTTATTTAATACTTCAAACTACCCCTCAACACTCTCAGTCTCCCTTACCCTCCTCAGAGTATCCTATTTTTCCTTGGCACTGCCGTCTTTGCTATACTAGATAATTTACTTATTTGTTATGTTTTTGGTTCATAATCTGCCCATGAATTCACAATCCCATGTTAGAAAATAAAATCCCCAAGGGCAGATATATTTGTCCATTTTGCTCAGTAATGCATCCCAATGATTAAAATGCATAGTTGGCGAACAATAAATATTTGTTAAGAAGAATGAATAAGCAAGTGAGTGAATGAATGAGTAAATAGTTTGTGCTTCTGTGAAGGTGAGGCTACCAACCAGTCATTAGGTTGGAGACATTATTACCAGGCAACCAGCAGAGGGCGCCAGCTTCCTAAATTTGAACTGTGAGGGCTAAGGGCAGGGTCTGAGTCCTAGCCCCCACGTTTATTCCCCAGGATCCCTGTATTCATCTCTTCACTCTCATACAAAAGCCATTTTGGGCTGGGCGCGGTGGCTGACACCTGTAATCCCAGTACTTTGGGAGGCCGAGGAGGATGATCACCTGAGATCAGGAGTTCGAGACCAGCCTGGCCAACATGGTGAAACCCCGTGTCTACTAAAAATACAATAATTAGCCAGGTGTGGTGGCGAGCACCTGTAATCTCAGCTACTCAGGAGGCTGAGGCAGGAGAATCGCTTGAACCTGGGGGTCAGAGGTTGCAGTGAGCCGAGATTGTGCCATTGCACTCTGGCCTAGGTGACAAGAATAAGACTCCATCTCAAAAAAAAAAAAAAAATTCCATTTGGTTTTCCCACCGAGAGAGAGAAAAATACAGAGAGAGAGAGAGAGAGAGAGAGGAGAAAAAGATCACTCTTCTTTTGAAGTATTCCCAAGTCAATCCCTTTCTTCCTCCCCTTCTCCCACCAGGTCTTGGATCGGGAGGGCCAAATGGACAATCCATGTAGTAGCTGGCTTGCAGATGCCTACTGGGATAACATCACAGAGCTAGACAAACTGACCAACTTCCACGGACTCATGAACTCCTTTGAGCAGTACCCTCGTGACTGGCACCTGTGGTATACCAATGCTGCCCCGGAGAAGGCGATGCTGCCAGGTACCAGGCGTCTGTGTCCCACTCTCACTTTTCTCCTTCCCTCCATTCAGCCACATGCCGGCCCTTCCCATTGTCCTCCATCCCCTCTCCCAGCTGGTGCCTGCCTCCTGGCCCGGAGCACATTCCCGGCAGGTGCCCCTTTGTCTGGATTCCCCGCTCTTCCAGACTCACTCCCTCTCCCTGCAATGACTCACCTCATCCCCAGGTGAGTGGGAAAATGCCTGCAATGAAATGCAACGGATGCTGATCGTTCGCTCCCTGCGCCAGGACCGCGTGGCCTTCTGCGTGACCTCCTTCATCATCACCAACCTTGGCTCCCGCTTCATCGAGCCGCCTGTGCTGAATATGAAGTCGGTCGGTGGCTCGGCTTCCTTGTCCCCACGGCCCATGGGTCTTTCCTGCCTCCCTCGCTCTGTTTCAGTCTCCTTCATCTCTCTCTCCCACTTTGGTCATGTGGCCTTCTGCCTGATGCTATACCTGTGCTTCTGGCAGGTGCTGGAGGATTCAACCCCACGATCCCCACTCGTGTTCATCCTGTCCCCTGGTGTGGACCCCACCAGTGCCCTGCTGCAGCTGGCAGAGCACATGGGCATGGCCCAGCGCTTCCACGCCCTGTCCCTGGGCCAGGGCCAGGCCCCCATCGCTGCTCGGCTCCTCCGAGAGGGTGTGACTCAGGGTTGGTGTCCATCCTTTCTTCCACCCCCATCTTCAGCCCAGTCCTTGTCCCTAGAACCTCCAACCTCAATTACACTACTGTCCCTGTACCTCCCACTTCTACAGAGGGCCCCAGAAGTGGCAGATCTTAGTGTTAGGCCCCCCCAGCACCCCCACCCCAACACCAGGTGGAAAGCATGAGGACAGGCAGGGCTTAGGAAATGATTCCCACTGACCCTGGCATCTCCTTGCAGGACACTGGGTGTTCCTGGCAAACTGCCACCTGTCACTGTCTTGGATGCCTAATCTGGACAAGCTGGTGGAGCAGCTGCAGGTGGAGGATCCTCATCCATCCTTCCGCCTCTGGCTCAGCTCCATCCCCCACCCAGACTTCCCTATCTCAATCTTGCAGGTCAGCATCAAGATGACCACAGAGCCACCAAAGGTATGTGGCCATAGAGAACCAGCATCATCAGGGCCATCTGGTCCACCTTACCTCCTGCTAGCACCAGAGAGAGGGCTTAACCAACAACAACATGATTTGATTGTCCTCAAAAAATTCCACCTCATTCCTCTCCTGTTTGTGCCAAACTCCTAGAACACAATAATAAGAGCTAACATTTCTTGAGTGATTATCATGTGCCACGCACTGTTCTAAGTTCTTTACATTTATTAACTCGTTTAATATGGGTGTGTGCACACACACACCCTATAAGGTGAATACTGTTACCCCCATTTTAAAGATAGGAAATGAGATACAGAAAGAGTAAATAAGTATTCCAGAGCCAGAGTTTGGGTAGTTGGGTCCCCAAATTCATTCTTTTATACCTCAGAACCTTCCTGCCTCCCATCATTTCCTTACATCCTCTTCCGAATGTCACACTTCCTGCCTCTTTGCCTTTCCTTTCCTCCGACTCTACTGAAATTTTTATCTCCAATATCACAAGCTCATCACCAAATGCAATCATCACCACCCTCTAAAATCTGCCGTGTCACTGCGCTTCACCCACTCACCCCTGCTTAAACTATTTTAGTAGCTTTTCATTGCGCTTAGTTGAGATCAAAATCCTTTTTGCTCACCCTGTGAAAAGCACATGGACCAGTATGTATCATCCTCAACAGATAAGAGCTGTTTGAATCACGCATGGGTGCCTTTCATCATTATTAATCCTCCTTGGCCACTTGGGGCAGCTGTCACAGTCGACTGTCCCTTTCCCTGGCTCCCTGACACATCACTCCTGCTTTCCCCGCTGTCTTTTGACATATCATTTATTACTTCGGTGTTTCTTTTTCCTCTGCCTGTGACCAGATTGCAATACTTACTCCTTAACCTAAGGACTAAGAGGGGAGGGCCAAAGAGGGGAGGGACCCTTGGTCCTGGCCCAGCGTTTCTCATTCTACTTTCTCCTTTCACAAGTTGTTGGAGAAATTGTCCTTTTCATGATTTCAACTCTAATCCCATCTCTGGCATCAGCCCCAAAGTCAGTGCCAGCTCTGAATTGCCATCAGATTACAAAGCACTTCTTGGCACACCAGCACCATAATAGCAACTCGTTTCACACTTTTTTGTCCCAACCCCCAAGACTCAGAATGTGATTACGTTTAGAGGCAGGATATTTTTTTAGAAAGCGTCTTGGCCAGGCATGGTGGCTCAGGCCGGGTGTGATGGCTCACACCTGTAATCCTAGCATTTGGGGAGGCTGAAGCAGGTGGATCACCTGAGCTCAGGAAGGTTAGATATGGAGTTCAGGTATGATAACCCTGGCTAGAGGTGGAGGTTGCAGGGAGCTGAGATTGCGCTGTTACACTGCAGCCTGGGCTCCGCCTCCCAGGTTCAAGCAGTTCTCCTACCTCAGCCACCTGAGTAGCTGGGACTACAGGTGTGCGCCACTACGCCCTACTAATTTTTGCATTTTTAGTAGAGACAGGGTTTCACCATGGTGGCCAGGCTGGTCTCGAACTCCTGACCTCAGGTGATCCACCCACCTTGGCTTCCCAAAGTGCTGGGATTACAGGGATTACAGGTGTGAGCCACCGTGCCCAGCCTGAGTTTTACTTCAAATAAGAAAGTCCCTGTATTCACAGCCCCCAGTTGCCAGTTTGGGATATAGTCCTGGAGTATATTCCTGGGTCACTTCCTGCTATCCAGTCTTTTAAAAAAGCTAGATATTAAGTAGGTACAAAAGAAGATTTATAAAATATATGCAAGTTATAAAGGATCATGATTCCTTGAATATCTGTGTGCCCATCATCTTTTTTTTTTTTTTTTTTTTTTGAGATGGAGCCTCACTCTGTCGCCCAGGCTGGAGCGCAGTGGCGCCATCTCGGCTCACTGAAACATCCGCCTCCCAGATTCAAGCGATTCTCCTGCCTCAGCCTCCGAGTAGCTGGGATTACAGGTGCCCGCCACCACACCTGGCTAATTTTTGTATTTTTAGTAGAGATGGAGTTTCACCATGTTGGCCAGGCTGGTCTTGAACTCCTGACCTCAGGCAATCTGCCTACTCTCGGCCTCCCAAAGTGCTGGGATTACAGGCATGAGTCACCGCACCCGGCCCATCATCCTTTTAAGAAAGAAAAATCCCAGCATTTTCTTTGAAGTCCCAGTGTGCCTCTTCCCAATCTCATCACTTTCCCTCCCCACTCAGAGGAAACCACTCTTCTGAATCTTGTATTTGTCATTTTCTTTATAATGTTTTTCTTTTCCTCTGGAGTTAGGGATTCTTTTTCATTGTAATGCAAAAGTTTGTATTGCTAATGCAACCATTGCTATATATGTTTCTCTGCAACTTGCTTTTTTCATTCAACATTATGTGCTTGACATTCATTCATGATGTTCTTCGCGTTTTGTAGTTCTTCATATATTCCAGATCCTAATCCTTTGTCAGTTATGTGTTTTGTGGTTTGTCTCTTCTCTTTTATGCTGTTTTTTGGTGAAGAGAAATTCTTAATTTTTATGAGGTTGAATTTAGCTATCTTTCCTTTTTTAAATGGTTTGTGCTCCTTTGTCTTGTTCAAGAAATCCTTGCTTAAAGATTGTAAAAGTACTCTCCTATACTTGCCTTCCAAAAAATTTATAATTTGACTTTCACATTTAAGTTTTTAATCACTTGGAATTCATTTTTGTGACTGTGGTATGAGGTAGAGGTCCAATTTTCTTTGGTTTTGTTTTGCTTTTTTTGAGACAGAGTCTTGCTCTGTCACCCAGGCTAGAGTGCAGTGGCGTGATCTCGGCTCACTGCAACCTCTGCCTCCCAGGTTCAAGCGATTCTCCTGCCTCAGTCTCCTGAGTAGCTGAGATTACAGGCACCTGCCACCCTACCCAGCTAATTTTGTTATTTTTTGTAGAGACGGGGTTTCACCATGTTGACCAGGCTGGTCTCGAACTTCTGACCTCAGGTGATCCACCCGCCTCAGCCTTCCAAACTGTTGGGATTACACGCATCAGCCACTGCGCCCAGCCAATTTTTTTTTTCTACATGGATAACCAATTCTCCCAGTACCACTTCTCAAATACTGCGAAAGTACTTTTCTGATCTGTAGTGCCTGCTCAGCCTTCAATCATGTTTCCATATATGTATGGGTTTCAGGGTCCTTTATTCTGTTCATTGGTCAAATTGTTTTATCCTGGAATCAATACTTTAGTCTTTGTTTGTTTGTTTGTTTGTTTGGGATGGAGTCTCACTCTGTGGCCCAGACTGGAGTGCACTGGCACCATCTTGGCTCACTGCAACCTCTGCCTCCCAGGCTCTAGCAATCTTTCCACCTGCACCTCACAGGTGTGTGCCACCACTCTGGCTAATTTTTGTGTTTTTTTGTAGAGACTGGATTTCACCATGTTGGCCAGGCTGGTCTTGGACTCCTGGACTTAAGCTGTCCTCCCACTTCAGCCTCCCAAACTGCTGGGATTACAGGTGTAACCCACAGTGCCATGCTGATATACTTTAGTCTTAATTACCATATAGCTTTATAATAATTCTTGATGGCTGGTAAGGCACATCTTCTTACCTTATTCTTCTTCAGGCTATTCTTGACCTTTTATTCTTCAATATAAATTTTAGAATTTGTTTGTTCTATTAAAAAAATTCTATTCATCAGTTTGGGGAAAATTCACATCCTTAGAACAATGAAACTCCTAATCTTTAAGTATATTTCTCCATTTATTCATTTTTTCCTCTTTTTTTAGACAGAGAGGGTCTTGCTCTATAGCCCAGGTGGAGTGCAGTGGTACAATCATAGCACAATGGGATTGCGGGTGGCATGAGCCACTGTTCCCAGCCTCCATTTATTATTTATTTTAATAAAATTCTGTAATGTTCTTTTTTTATTTTTTATTTTTTAAATAGAGACAGAGTCTTGTTACGTTGCCTGGGTTGGTCTCAAACTCCTAGGCTCAAGTGATCCTCCCATCTTGGCCTCCCAAAGTGCTGAGATTACAGGTGTGAGCCACTATGCCTGGCCTAAAATTCTGTAATTTTCTCCGTAAATAATCATACATTTTAATTGGATTTATTTCTTGGTACTTGACATATCTTGATGTCATAAGTGGCATTTTTTAAAAAGTCATGTTATTTTTGTTACTGCTATCCAGTATTCCTCAAGTTTCTCACTATTCCATTCTGTCAGTCATAGATAAGTCTTTTTAAAACGCTGTTTGAACAGATTGCTGTCCTACTCAAGATAGAGACTGGCTCCATGATGCCCGGTGAATCAAGTCCAAATGGCTCAAACATCCATTATTATTATTATTTTTTTTTTTTTGAGACAGAGTCTTGCTCTGTCACCCAGGCTAGAGTGCAGTGGCGCTCTGCAACCTCCTCCTCCTGGGTTCAAGCGATTCTTCTGCCTCAGCCTCCCGAGTAGCTGGGACTACAGGTGCGTGTCACCACGCCTGGCTAATTTTTGTATTTTTAGTAGAGAGGGGTTTCACCATATTGGCCAGGCTGGTCTCAAACTCCTGACCTCCTGATCTGCCCACCTCGGCCTCCCAAAGTGCTGGGATTACAGGCGTGAGCCAGCGCGCCTGGCCACACATCCATTACTCTTATTGCATCTCCATCTATCCACGGCCCTCCTCTTCCCACCTGAGCACTTGCACTTGACTTCAGCCAGGCTCACCCTGTCACTTTATTCTGTCCTCGGTGCCTTTATTCAATTCCTTGCATCTCCAGGAAAGTAAGACTCTCCTCTCAAGCCTAGTCATATCCTTCCCATTTGGAAGGCTTAGTTCAAATCCCAGCTTGCTCATGGAGACTAATAATGCCAATCACATAGACTGTTCTTCCTTGATGATATATTATGGACTTTTTAATCTACACTAACCTTTGCACGCAATTCCGTACATTTTTGTTAGTTGAACGTATATGTACTTATCTTTGTTCATTTTTCTGGCACCCCAAATTGTGCTGGCCTACCTACCACTGAGAACATCAGGGCCGAGAGGATCAAAAGTGGTGGGATGGCTGGGTGCGGTGGCTCACACCTGTAATCCCAGCACTTTGGGAGGCCGAGGCGGGTGGATTGCTTGAGGTCACGAGTTTGAGACCAGCCTGGCCAACATAGTGAAACCCTGTCTCTACTAAAAATACAAAAAATTAGCTGGGCATGGTGGTGGGCGCCTGTAATCACAGCTACTTGGGAGGCTGGGGCAGGAGAATCGCTTGAATCCAGGAGGCAGAGGTTGCAGTGAGCTGAGATCACACCATTGCACTCCAGCCTGGGCAACAACAGCGAAACTCCGTCTCAAAAAAAAAAAAAAAAAAAAAAAGTGGTGGGACAAGAAGGCAGGGCTGCCGCAAGCCCATACAATGCCTATCTGTGAATTAGAGAAAGGCACTCAGCCTTGTGGAAGAATGTAGATCTTGGCATGTAGATCAACGGCTACATTTCAGCCTCCACTCACCCTTTCAGCCAGTGCCTTTGTGCAATGAAGAACCTCCACAACTGTACATGGCAGTGCTAGTGGCAGGTCTGAGTGTGATGCATGTCACCCCATCTTTATATTTCATTGTCCCCAGGGCCTAAAGGCCAACATGACACGTCTTTACCAACTGATGTCAGAACCACAGTTTTCCCGCTGCTCCAAACCTGCCAAATATAAGAAGCTGCTGTTTTCACTCTGTTTCTTCCACTCTGTGTTACTTGAACGCAAAAAGTTCCTGCAGCTTGGCTGGAACATCATCTATGGCTTCAATGACTCCGACTTTGAGGTTTGCATTAGCCAGGGGTCCTCATCCCAGCCCTCTCTCCTTACACGTCCTACCCCATGGCTCCCCTGTGGGAATATCCGTGGACACAAAGCCTGTGTTGAAGCCCCATTGGCAGATTTCCTGCCATAACTCTGGGAATGGGGGCTTGGGCTGGGATCATGCCTAGGTGTCAGAAAACTTGCTGAGCCTCTATCTCGATGAGTACGAGGAGACACCTTGGGACGCACTTAAGTACCTCATTGCCGGCATCAACTATGGTGGACATGTCACAGATGACTGGGACCGGCGCCTGCTGACCACCTACATCAATGATTATTTCTGTGACCAGTCTCTATCAACTCCCTTCCACCGGTGAGGGGGAGGTGGCCCTGGACAGGGAGCCAGAGGTCACAAGTCAGCCAGGTGGTGGGATCAGGGGTGGGGGTAATGTTTGAGGAGAGGACGTGAGATTGGAAGAAGACAGAGTTTGTGGGATTGAGATGGGGAGCAGGGCAGGGAGCTGGACAAATTGGACATGCATAGGTTTGGGGTCTTGGCCTGGCATTGAGGGCTGAGTCCCCACAATGTGGCAGTAATTATGCTATGACTCCCTAGGTTGTCAGCACTGGAGACTTATTTCATCCCCAAGGATGGCAGCCTCGCTTCTTACAAGGAATACATCAGCTTATTGCCTGGCATGGACCCCCCTGAGGCCTTTGGCCAGCACCCCAATGCTGATGTGGCCTCTCAGATCACTGAGGCACAAACCCTCTTTGATACTTTGCTTTCCTTGCAACCTCAGATTACACCCACCAGGGCTGGAGGCCAGACCCGGGAAGAGAAGGTAAAAAGAGCCGGGCCTGGGGGAGGGAAAGTGATGAGAAGAGGGGGCTACACTCAAGAGCTCCTGCCTGCTCAGGTCCTTGAGTTGGCCGCTGATGTGAAGCAGAAGATCCCTGAAATGATCGACTATGAGGGGACTCAAAAACTGCTAGCTCTCGACCCCTCCCCCCTCAATGTGGTCCTTCTGCAGGAGATCCAGAGATACAACACACTGATGCAGACCATCCTGTAAGACAGAGGGGGACTCTGCGGAACAGGGGAGGGTGTGAGGAGAAGCCTTTGCCTTCTGGCTAGAATGACGTTCCCAGGCCCACCTCATCTCTAACACTCCACCTCATCCTGCTCAGGTTCTCACTGACAGACCTAGAGAAAGGCATCCAGGGTCTCATCGTCATGTCTACAAGCCTGGAAGAGATTTTCAATTGCATCTTTGATGCCCATGTTCCTCCGCTCTGGGGAAAGGCAAGATTATACCATTGTTGATCCTTCTCCAACAATGAGCTCCCCTCTCAATCCTGGGCCCCCCAATCTCCTGGTTCTAGGTGGGCATAAAGCAAACTGCAGAGAGCCGAAACTTTGAAGTTAGATAGGTTCAAGGTTAAAACCTGGCTCTGCCATTCATTGACTGACTTCATACAACTTATTAACTTACAGACTCACTCAGGGAAAATTACTAACCTCTCCAAGGATGTTTCAGAGATTCCCAGTATTGTGCCTACCACTCAGTAGGTGCTTCATCAATGCTACCTGGTTAATATTACTGCGGTCATTGTTATGAATGAATAGCTGTCGTTGTATGCCTCTTTCCTAGAAGTTGGCTTTGGAGAGCTTTGTTCACCTGTAGTTGGGGAACAGGGGCTGCCACCACATAGTCTTCTCATATCTGCTTCAGGTGCTCAAAATAAGGATTTGGGCTGGACGCGGTGGCTCATGCCTGCAATCTCAGCACTTTGGGAGGCTGAGGCGGGCAGATCACCTGAGTTTAGGAGTTTGAGACCAGCCTGGTCAACATGGTGAAACCCCGTCTCTACTAAAAAAATACAAAAATTAGCCGGGCGTGATGGTGGGCGCCTGTAATCCCAGCTACTTGGGAGGCTGAGGCAGGAGAATAGCTTAACTTGGGAGGTGGAGGTTGCAGTGAGCCAAGATCGTACCACTGCACTCCAGCCTGGGGGACAAGAGCAAAACTCTGTCTCTAAATAAATAAATAATACGGATTTGAATGCACGGCTAAATGAGTGAATACACACGCACTCCTTCCCCAGGCATACCCCTCACAAAAGCCATTGGCTGCCTGGACCCGGGACTTGGCCATGCGTGTGGAGCAGTTTGAGCTGTGGGCCAGCCGGGCCCGGCCTCCTGTGATCTTCTGGTTGTCTGGTTTCACCTTTCCCACTGGCTTCCTCACTGCTGTGCTGCAGTCTTCAGCTCGCCAAAACAACGTGAGCAATGTGCAAAGTGTGAGGGGGGGATGTATGCTGGGGCCATGTATGTGTTCTCCTCTTCAGGGTCCTCTCTTATTCTCACCTTCAACCCCCAGGTTTCAGTGGACAGCCTCTCCTGGGAGTTTATCGTTTCCACTGTGGATGACAGCAACCTAGTGTATCCCCCCAAGGTGGGAGCCAGTTGTGCTTGGGGCTCTGAGCAAAAGAGGGTACTGGAAATAATTGGACGAAAAGGGAGGAGAGAGGGAGCAGGTCAGGGGCGCTGGCAATTGAAGTCTAGCTTCTCCCAGACCTGCTCCCATTTCTCCCCAGGATGGTGTCTGGGTCCGGGGCCTGTACCTGGAAGGTGCTGGCTGGGACCGGAAGAACTCCTGCTTGGTGGAGGCAGAGCCCATGCAGCTTGTCTGCCTCATGCCCACGATCCACTTCCGGCCTGCAGAGAGCCGCAAGAAGAGCGCCAAGGGTGGGACAGCTCCCCAGGCAGGACCTGCCTGCCCCGTCCCTAGTTTGGAACTTAACCCATTCTCTGCTCCAGCCCATCCCACACCCGCTCCTGCCCTGCTCCTGCCCTGCTCTCCCGGAGGCTCCAGGGGTCTGACTTCTCCTCTCCTTTCCCCCAGGCATGTACTCCTGCCCCTGCTATTACTATCCCAACCGGGCAGGCAGCTCAGACCGAGCCTCCTTTGTCATCGGCATTGACCTGCGGTCTGGGGCCATGACACCTGATCATTGGATCAAGAGGGGCACTGCTCTACTCATGAGCCTGGACAGCTGAGACCTCCTCCTCTTCTCCGCTTGAGAGAGAGGGTCAGGGACTCCAGGAGCTAAGACAGATGTTGCACCTAGGACTGAGGCCGGACCTCACTCAGACTTTGACCTTGGCCGAATTTGTGTGATGTGGCCCTGGAGATACCTAGTTGTGTTAGCCATAAAAGTGAAAGAGTTGTATTGGAGCTCAGTGCTGTAAAACACCCGCGACAACAAGCCTTAAGTCTCTCAATGCAATGGTGAGGGTCTGGGGAGGGAGGAAGCCCAGGCCTCACGGAGGACAGAGCTACTGCGGAGCTGCTACTGGACGGGGAAAGAAGCGAGGGAGGTGGGGCGGCCTGGAGCGGAACGGAGGCGTGGCCCTGAACGAATGGGCAGGGCGGAGCCGCCTGAAGAGGCTGTGGCTTAAGTCTCCGGGCAGGACTTCAGTGGGTGGGGCGGGGCTTACCTTAGAAGGGCGCGTGATCCAAATGAGTAGGGATTTGTCAGGCAGGGATCAGGGCTGAACCCCGTACACTGCACCCTGAGGCCCGCACCCTGAAGCCCGCACCCCGCACCCGGCATCCTAGCCGGCACCCGCCCTGAGGCGAGCGGGACCGGCAGAAGACGGGGCGGAGCCGGAGAGGGGGACTAGAGCGCGAGGAGGGGCGGGACCACAAGGGGGCGGGGCTGGGGAGCGGGGGTGCGGGTGTTTGTGTTGGAAAATCCAACTGCGCCACTGGGCGGAGCGGCCCCCCCAGCCCCGGCCTGGGAGAAGGGGGGGCCGCTCGACCCCCTGGGATACCTTGGGGAGCCTGAACACCTGGGACCCCCCCCAGAACCAGGTAACGGGGAGCCGCGAGGACGTCTGTAAAGAGGGAAACCCTCTCCTTGCAGCAGGGCAGGACGCCTGAGTCTCTGGAGGGGTAGAGCTGGGGATGGACGTTTGGGTCTTGGGAAGGGCACTGGGAAGAAGACTGGGGCGGAGGTCATGGGTCCCCTAGAAGAGAGAACGGCGGGGAAGGAGGAAGAACTGGGAGGCAGATGTCTCAGGTTCCAAATGTCCAGAGGGGCCTGAAAGGACTCCCCGTTCCCCTTGGGCTGGGATTCCCCTTCCCGACTCCAGGGCGGGGCGGGGCGGGGCGCGGCGGTCCTTACTGAAGGGCAGGACTAAAGGGCAGAGTTTGCAGACAGGTCAATGCCATGGCCCAGTAAGGTCAGATGTGGTCAGACTTGGGTGTGTCCCGGTCCCAGGACTACTTTAAGTCTCCCTCCAGTTCTCTGCACGGGTGAGGTGTAGAAGCCTCAGCCTGACCTTCCCACCAGCGGCCCCGAGAGCTTCCCAGCGGTAGCCTTCGCCTTCTTCCCACCACCCCCCTGCGCCTCCCTTTCACTCCGTCTCGCCCCGCTAGCCTCCTCATCCCTAGTCCTTCTCCCACTCCGCCGTTCCCGAACCCTAGCGCGCCCCGCACGGCTTCTCGGTGCGGAGCCTTCCCAACGTAGCCACAAGATGGCGAGGGCGAGACGCACCCAGGGCAGGTGGGGGATGTGACCGTGAAAGTAGCTGAAGCCCCCCGCCCCGGTCCGAGGGAAAGGTAGGCTGAGGCCCCCACTTGACTTCCTGTGATCTGGGCCCCCTCACAGGAAATTGTGGGCAGGAGGTCGCAGCGCAGAAGACGGGGAGGGGGCTGGGGACTCAATCTCCGCCTCTCCCGGCTGGGGTAAATAGTGGGGAGGGGGGCACGCGGGGTGGTTGCTAAGCGACGTAGATTCGCTTCCTGTTTGCTGCAGCTTATGTTGTGACACTGGTGGGGGTTAGAGACAGCGGAGGGCCTGAAGACTGTGGGGAAGGCCGAGGGCAGGACGCCTGGTTCCCGGGACAGGAAGAGCCCTGGGAGGAAGGCGGGGAGGTAGCGAGCTGCGCCGCGACCGAAGGGGACTCGGTGGTTGTCCGGAGGGGGTTAGGGACCGAGGCGCAGCGTTGACCTCGGCTCCCCTTCCCTCCCCTGGGTTGCTTGTCCTGTTGCCAGAGTAACTGGAGGGCGAGACTTGGGAGCCGGATTCCCGAACTCTCCCGTCCGCCCAATCCGCTCCAGCGGTCGGCCCTGACGTCAGGGCCCTGGCAGCCAATGGGGAAGGGGGATGATAGCGACAGGAAAGGGAGAGGGGAGGGGCAGCGGCGGAGGCTGGGAGGCAGCAGCTGCCTGGGACCCGCACGTGCACTCCCACACGCTCGCGCCCACCCCCCGCCCTGCGCCGCACGCGCCCGAGCACCCCCTTGCGCCTGCGCGGCGAGCCGGGCGCCCCCCTCCCCTCGTGGAGTCTGTGTAAAGCCGCCTGAGGCTGCGCTCTTCAGCCCCTGGGGACCCACACGTCTCGGTCGGTCTGCACCGTTTCGCCGGTCGCGACCATAATGCCCAGCCTGGCTCGGGAGGGCCGACTACCTGTTCCCCACCTCCCCCCAGCTGGCGCCCCACACTCCCAGGTGGGCTGGGCGGAGCTGTGGTTTCCGGCCCCATCTGCTCGGCCGCTGCCTTCCCGGGCTCTGGCTTAAGTTGCTTTCCCAAGAGAAAGCGAGCGGGTACCAGCGCCCCTTCCCAAGGCTTCTCCCGCCCGGGCCCAGCTGCTGTTGGTGGCGGAGGAGGGCACTGCGGGGAAGCCCCGGACGGCCCAGGTGATTCTTCTGGGCCATCACGCCCCTTCTTCGCGTGAATTCCTGCTCTTTGATGTGCACCAAAACCCTTCCCATTCCTAACGTTTCCTCCTCGTTCGCCCCGGCGTTCTTTGCACCTCCCTCGGCTCCTTTCGGGCTGTCTGTCCCTGTCTCCACTCGTCCTTCTTCGCTTCTCCCGGTTATATAACTCTTCCTCTCGCCGTGTCCTGGTTTCAACTCCACAGACTCCGCCCTGGAACAGCGCGGGGAGGGGCGGGAGAGTTGGGGACCCAGACAGATTCCGGCTGGCGGCCGGCTGGGGCACGGGGGATCCTGCAGATGGAAGACGGAGCCCCGCGGGACCCGGTGCCCCCGTCCCCGCCTGCCGGCCCCCACCGAGATCTCGCCCAGGAGAGAGAAGGCACAGTATCTCCGAGGGGCGTGTCGGGCCGACTCCCGTCAGAAATGTGGGTTGGGAGGTCAGGGCTGCAGGCGGAGAGGAGGAGACAGGCAAGAGGCCTGAGTCCCTGGGATTGGAGTCGTATTAGGGGTAAAAGAGATAAGGACGCCTGGGTTTCTTCTTATGTCTCCTTTTTGGGTTCCCAGAATTCCTAAGGGTGTTTCCAGTGTTTCCAGGAAGCTTAGCCAGCACACCCACTCCGCCCCGTAGGGGTCAAAGGTCTGTGTTAGAGGTGGCCTGGGATGATGTCACTAGTGCACGTGCCCCGGGATGGTTGCCAGGCAATGAGGCTTCCTCCCCCTTCTATTCCCTCCCACCTCTGCCCCGAGTCCAGTTCCAGTCCCGTGCCATCTCTTTCCCCTCTCCCTTCCCGTGGTCTTAGCATCCTGCAGGTGGGAAACCCCGGCCTGGAGTTTTGTGAGGGGGAGGGGCACGGGTGTGGTGTGGCTGAAAGACTTTGCCCCTTTGCTGGGCTGAGGGAGCCTTGGGTCACTTTTCCCTAGATTGGCACAGAAGAGCTTCCCCTCCAAGGCTCCGCCCCCATAGAAAAAGCTACCTAGCCGTCATTTTACTTTCCCACCTGCTGCATGGCCAAGTGTCCTATTGCCCCCTTCCCCAGATTGATTTGAAGTGGGAGTGGTTGAAAGACGGAAGAGTTGTGTGTAGTATGGGGGGGGGTTCACTACACACCAGCTTATCCCTGAAATCCCCATAATGGCACACCCCCATCTGCAAACAATGAAAGGAAAAGGGTCAAGAAACAGTATTAGGCTGAAAAGTCAGGGTCTTTATTGTGTGTATGCGGGTGAATCGGTTTGTAGCCTCTCACTTGGTGGAGGGGGACTCAGTTGATTGCTATGGTTGTTCTTCTCTATTAAGTCCCAGGGTTGGTGATGGTATTGGAATGAATCGGTTTGTGCTTTTATGTACCTTAGAGCTTGGGCTGTCAGATCAGACCTGGATTCTAATTCTAGCTCTGTCACTTAGTGGCTACTAGGACTTGGAGAGGTCAGAACCTCTCTGAGCCTCGTATGTTAATCTTGAACATTTAAATATCAACACCTACCTTGAAGGCCGCTGGGAGGAAAAAAATGAGATAATTTATGCAAATCACTTAGCACAGTGCCTGGCACAGAATGAACACAGAATGAGTGCTTGTTGTTATGAAATACTTTTATTATTAAATGGTGTTAGTTACTAGTTTATTATTATTGCTGTGGGTCTGCTCCAAACCAGCGGTAACCGTAGGAGTTTGTTAAGGGGTAGTGGATAGTTTGTGTTAATTTGGAGATTGGGGTTAGGGGGCTGGGGATTAGCTTCAACTGCTTTGTGCATTTTATTTGATGAAGGCTTTAGGCAGATTTGTATTGCTTTCTTTAGGATTATTTTTTTTTCTCTTGGACAAGAAATAGCTAAGACTATTCCGTGGGCCTTGAAAATAAAATAATTGTATTATGGTTCTTGATTTTGAAGCAAGACCCCAGCCCCCTCCCGTGTTGATCTCTGGAGCCTTTCGTTTTGCAGAGGGACTCCACAGTTTCTCTAGTGGGGACAGGGCTAGGCTGAGGGGTGTGTAAAAGGTTGGGGTGGGTGGGTGGAGAGAGACTAGTGCTGGGGGCTGGGGGGGCGGGTAGTTAAAGGAAGAGACCGGAAGGGAGGAGGAGGGAGCCTGCTGGTGGGGAGGGAGGGAGGGGAGGAGGAGGTGGAGGAGGAGGAGGAGGAGGAGGGAGGGGGTTGGGGAGAGCCTGCTACAGTTCTTTGTTTGACTCCGGGACTCAGGGACGGGGAGGAGGAGGGAGGGAATAGAAGGGGGAGGAAGCCCCCCCCCCCACACACACACAAACACACACACCCCAGCTGTTGGACAGATGAATTACAGCCTCCGGCTTGGGGCCAGGGCTGGTGAGGGATTAAAGCTCTGGGGCTGGCCCTTTAAATGGCTGTTAGCCCCTCCCCCACTCTGTTGTCCAGACACCCCTCACACACCCTCTGACCCCCTAGGCTTCCCCCTCACTCCTCCTCTTGGTCTGTCCTAAAGTCTGCCCACTCTGCTCTCGACTAGCCCTTTCCTAGTCCCTCCCCCCAGCACAACCGCAGAACACAGATGCCACAGACTATAGATACACACTCTCTGCTCCCAGGTTATGAGCCTCCCTGTCCTGGAGAGTTCTAGCCTGAAGCTCCCTTCCCGAGCAGAAGGGCCTTGCCTGCCTGACCTCTACCACCTACAGCTGACCACTACCCTGGCTTAGGAAGGAGGCCTTGGTGGGTCACAAATAGCACCTCCCTGGGGGCAGTGTCATCAGCAGCCACAGAAGCTTGCGGAACATTGCATCATGGAGACTGGGGGCTAGAGGCCTGAGTCTCTGAGGCAAGGGGAAGGATGGGGGCCGGAAGGCTAGGGAATATAGAGATTAGATTGGGACCCCAAGTGTTTGGGTCCATAAGGGCAGAGAACTATGATTAAGGGAGCAGAAAACATAGGTCCCTGAGGAGCGAGTCTGAGGTGAGGGCCAACTTAGCTCTGACCCCTGATGGACACCTGATTCTTGGCCTTGGACTTATGCTAAAAGACCTAGCTTCTTGTCTATGAGGGTTGGGAAGGGAGTGGGCCTGTATCACCTTCTTAGGCCACATAAGAGGAAGGAGGTGATGGGGAAACAGGATATTGCCTTGGGGTTGGCAGGGAGGGGAGGCTTGCAGTGGAGGCTACTTCCAGGCTTAGGCCCAGAGTCAGAGTTCTTGCAGGGGAGGATGGCCCCTCCCTGTTGGGCCCGTTCATCTAGTCTGGCTACCTGTGCTGCTAGCCAAGACCTGCCTGCACCCGCCTGGGGGAAGAAGAGGGGGCAGAGTCCAGAGGGTGGGGTTGACTGTCTGGTGTCTTGATAAGGTTGGAGAGGACACAGAGCTGAAGGAAGAGGGTCTGCATGCCCTGGTGCTAGGACTCAGGCTGGCTTGTGTACAGATGTCAGGGCAGCTGGGGCGACTCAGGCCAGGGAGTCTCAGCAGGAGCGTCCTGTCAGAAGAGGGATCACGGGTTTGGGGTCTACTGTAGACTTACTCAGATGCCATATCATGGCCCCTTACCAACTGATCGAGCCTGCTTCCCAAAGGGGAAGGTTGGATGACCACTTTGGGGATGGCTTTTTCTGGTTGCCATGGAAACAAGATTCTCCCATCATATCTGACCACCAGAGCCAGGTTTCTCCTTAATGAGGGGGGCAGGGAGCCCAGGAAAATTCTCCATCCTGGAAGACCCCCACCTCTAACTGACTTTTTTCTTTTAGGTTCCCCCCAGGGCAACATGCCAGCCCCGTAGCACTGCCCACCCCACCCACTGTGGTCTGTTGTACCCCACTGCTGGGGTGGTGGTTCCAATGAGACAGGGCACACCAAACTCCATCTGGTAAGTCCTGTCTGAGTGACCCTCTCTCCTCAGCAGTCTAACTCTGCACCACATGGTTGGAGATGCTCGGTATGATCTGGATCATGCCCACTCTTCAGAATGGTCCAGTCCAATTCTAAGCACCCCACCATGTGGTGCTTGAGTGGTTCAGCCCTCCTGGTTTATGGACCTCCCTTCTATCTCCTATAAATGGTTCAGCCCTGTACTTCACCAGCCTCTCCACTACTACCAAAAAATCTTTTCCCCACTATCTCCCTAGTGCTACAACTCAGTTGCTTATTGAAATGAAGAGGGAGTTTGCAAGCTGAAAAGTGGATATGAGCTACCCTGGAGGAATTTTTTCTTGGTAGGGAAACAGCTTTGTCCCTATAGGAGTTGTTGAACACCCTGGCTTTTGGAGGGTGTTCAGAATTTATTTGGGGAGATAGTGGAGATCACTGCCAGCCACAGCAGTCTTGGCATTTCACCTTTCCTTCCAGATCTCTTTCAGTCCCATTCTCTCCCCACTGCACTATAGCATTTGCCCCCATACCTAAGTCTTACTCTTCTGCTTCCCTCTCTCCTTCTGTCAGTTCTCTGCCTGAGGCCCTGCTTTATTTCCCATTCCTTTGTAGGAGAAAAGGGAAGATAATCCCTAAGCCAGGGGCTTAAGTTCTCTCTGTGTTGTTCTTCCTCATTACATATGGGGTTTCTCGAGTGGGACTGTTTTCTTCTATGTGTCTCTCACTATTTTGCTTGATGTTTTGCACATTGGGGTGCATGGTGGATTTGTGTTGAATAATGTTAACTGAATGAGCTTCATTATGAAGAACCTATGACTTCTGAGATTTGCTGCACAGCCTCCTACTTTATCCTCTAGAGGACGTGAGACATTGGGGATGGTAACATGGGTAGAGCTGAAAGGAAGGTTGACCCAGGAGATGGCCTGTGAGGATAAAACCAAGGGAGGGAGAGTAGGACAGAGGCAGTACATAAGAGTGGTAAGAATGTGGCTCTGGAAAGAAGCCTAGCTCTTTCATTCTTCACTTGCAGAATGACTTTGGCCAAGTCACCTAGCCTCTCTGGGCCTCAATTTCCTCATCTGTAAAATGGGGGTAATCAGAGTACCTCCTATGTCAGGTTTTGGGGAGGAGTAAAAGAAATGCTTGTAAAATACTTAATACAGTGCCTGGCATGTAACAAATATTCACAAAATGCTAGCAGTTATCACCACAGTGGGAGCCACAGGGAGCTCTGAGGATAAGCAGGGATGTCGAGGGATGGGACAGAACTTGATTGAAGGCAGACAGACCTCCAAATTCTTGACTCAGACAGAATGATCACTGATCCAGCGAGACGTCAGGATCGAGAGGAGTGTAGCAAGGAGTCAGGAGGGTGGGCCTGCGCCAGTGTCGCCCCGACTCTGTTCAGTAACATGAAGGCAAACACAGAAGGGCATGTGCGGAGACACACGTGATCACGCTAGTGATGCAGAGGCAGACCCAGACAAAAGACCGAGACAGGAGCTAGGCAGACACACAGACAGAGACAGCCCCGCGGAGTCATGTAGACAGGGATAATGACAGGAACGCGTCAGACACAGGCACAGAGGGAGACAAGATGAGCAGATATGCAGGTGCACGCGGAGACAGACACCGGGACCCACGCACAGCCGACCGTGTCAGACAGACTGGTGAACACAGCGCCCAGTCAGAGGCAGACACAAGGCCTGCAGTGACACATAGCGGGCCGGGGCCGGCACCGTCACTCCTCGGTGGGGGGCGGGGAGGGGCCGGCAGCCGGGGGAAGGCTGGGGAAGGGAATCCCGGGCGGGCGGCCTGCCCGGGTGGCTGAGTCACAGCGGAGCCTCAGCCGGCGGCCCTCCCCTCCGCCTCCCCCTCCCCCAGGTAAGAAGCGAGCGTGTAACCCCTCGCTTCCACCAGGCGTGATGAGGACGGGCAGGGAGCGGGTTGCGACGAGGGTCCTGGACCGCCCCACCTCGGCGCGCGCGCAGCATGCCCGCTGATTGCCGGCTAGGTAAAACCCTATCTGCGGGCTCTTGTCTCTGGCCGTCACGTGAGTTTGCGTGCGCACTTCAGGCCTCTTACCACGCGTCCCGCGCGGCTGCGGCGCTGCGCGGAGGGGCTCCTCGGCTCAAGCCCAGAGAGAGTTAAGTGGGTGTGATTGATGGAGTGTTCTCTCTTGGGGCTCCAGCGGGGGCGGGGGGTAGGGGGTCGGTTAAAGTCCCGAGTCCAGGGCCCGGATGGAGGGGGCGGAGCTGGGCTTCGCCGGGAGTGCCCGGATGGAGAGGGTGTGGCCTCGGCGGGAGCGGAATTAACCCTTTCAGAGCCGCTGGCTCCCGAGGTTGTGGGTCGGGTCGGGAGAGGCTGGAATGTCTGCCTCAGAAGTATATCGATCTCCCAGCCTGGCTCTGGCCGCGTGCGTCTACCTCTCGCCTGTCTTCGAGGAGTCTGTGGGTGTCAGTCTTTGTGCCTGTCCGTGGTTCCCTTCCCTTGGTTAGTATAGACACCGGGAGTCAGGGAGGGCTATTCTTGCCCCAGAGCGAGAGTGGAGGTGAGAGTGGAGCGCGAGCTGGCGGCGACTGGGGAACAGGTGCAAGCGCCGCGTCGGGGCTGCCCGGCACGGGGAGGGGCCATCGTGGGGGAAGACGAGAGGGGAAATTCCGCGGGACCGGTGGTGAGCCGGTGTGTGGGCTGAGGAGTTGTGTCTGCCTCTGACTGTGTGTCTGTGTGTGTTCAGGGAGGCGGGGGCTGAGTCAGTGGGAAGAGGGGAAGGTTTTCTGGGTGACTCACGCTCCCCCACCCCAAGCCTGAATCAGACCCCGAGGGAGGGCTTTGTACGGGGGGCGGGGGGGCGAGTGAGGAGTCCAGCGCCTGGGTCCCGGGTGCGGACAAGGATCCGAGGTGGCTGGCGAGAATGAGTGTGTGTTTAGTGTACAGGAAGTTTTGTCTTCAAGTGAGGGCTTTGTATTCTTGGGTGCTGGCGTGGGGCTTTGTGGATAAAGGTGGAAGAGCAGGGAGCTGGAGGGACGGCACTCACTGACTTAGGGAAAGCTGAGTCAGTTCCCCGTGGGAAAGGGGAAGTGGCAGAGGGGAAGTGTCATCATCGCCGAAGGGGAAGCTGCCTTTCCTGGTAACTGGCGGCGCTCTCGGGACCACTTCCCAAGCAGGCATCTGCCCCTCTGTTGTCTGGTTCCCCGGCTCCCCCTCCACGTCTGGTTCTTGGGTCTCCTCCCCGCCCCTGCCTCGGTACTCGGGTGGGGGCAGTCACGGAGGGCCATACTTGACCACAGTTCAGCGCCGTACCTGGCTTGGTTACTGATGGAAAGGATGCTGCCTCTAGTGAGGAGAGAGTTCTGACAGTAATACCACGTGAACCGCGGAGAGGGTCCGCGGGGCCCAAGCGACCACAAGGGCTTGGCGGAGAGTGGCACGCAGGGACCTGTAGGGTCCAAGCGCTTCCATGCAAACAAACGACCTTGCCCCTTCGGGAAGGAAGGCTCTTTTCACCAGAAACCCGTCTGCCCTTGTGGGCTGGGTGGAAATTTCCCCACAGCGCAGACTTCTCTCAACGAACGCGAACTTTCCAGCCACCCCCAGCCCCTCGTCGCGCACTCTCCCCCGGCTTCCTGCCCGGCGCTCGCTCCAGCTGGAGCGCTGGCCCCGCCCCCGCGGCTTTGTACTCGACACTCGCCTCTCGCTGCTCTTTGTACTCTAGACTCTCAATGGACCGATCCCGGGAGCCGAGTCGGCTCCCTACCTGCGGGGACGCCGGGTAGGCAAGGAGGAGGCGCGGGGACGCAGCTCCTGGGCTCAGAGAGGCGAGAAGGAAGAGCTGGGGCTAAAGGGAAGGTGCCCAAGAGAGGGGAGCGCTGTGCCAGTCGGGGGTCCAGTCGGCACCAAAGCGAAAGGGTGGGGGGGGCGTGAAGGAGGAAGTGAAACGAGTTCTGGGTTCTTTAAGGGAGTGGGTGGTGAGAGTGGGACAAGGGTGATGTCACTGCCTGTCGGGCCCCGCCCTCCTCCCTCCCTCAGGACCCCCCCCCCCGCAGTACATTTACACACACCGCTTCCGCTGCGCAAGTAGCCACGTCACGGGCAACCCCCGAAATCCCCCCTCCCTTGGGGGGCGGGGGCCACGTGGGCCGTGGGGAACCGCGTGGCCCCGGCGGGGAAGGGCAGAGAGGATACGCGAGCCACGAGAGAGGGGCCACTCGGGACCGCGGTGCGCGACTTCTCGGAAGTTGGGGGACTAAAAGGGGTCTGATTTTGGGGGTCGGTCGGTATTGAAGACCCAGAAAGCCAGGGGAAGTAGAGGACCTGGAGGAACTGGGTATGAGACTGGGGGCTTGACCAAGGTTTGGGTCGGGGTCAGGCGTTGGGGGTGGAGCGCCGATAGCGGCGCGGACGGGTTTGGGTGCCGTGGAAGTCGCTGTGGCTGGCCAGCCCTAAGCAGTTAATAGGGGCGCTCGGGGTAGGGAGGTCTGTCACTGGGCGAGGTGAAGTGAGGAAGGGGAGGGACGTCTTTTTTGCGTTCTGCATCCGTCTGTCGTCCGTCGGTCTTACGGTGGCCGGGCGTGGGGCTACTCGAGCAGCCTGGCCGTGGCCACCGGCGGCTCTGGGTGCTTGAGGCTTGCGGGTAGCGCCGGCCCCCACGCCGGCCGGAGCATGCGACTAACCGGCCTCATCCGCATGCGTCTTGTCCTGGCTGCCTTCTGGCCCTGACGGCCGGAGTGTCGGATCCTAGATGGGGACCCTAGGTGGGAGCCGCGGGGTCACATCGGGGTCACCCCGGGCTGAGCTCGTCTGACCGGCTCCCGCGCCCCTCCTCCCCCGGCCACCGCTGCCGGGCTCACCTCGCTCCCATTGGTTCCGGCCAGGCTGTTACTGAGGCGGAGACACGGGTGATGATTGGCTTTCTGGGGAGAGAGGAAGTCCTGTGATTGGCCAGATCTCTGGAGCTTGCCGACGCGGTGTGAGGACGCTCCCACGGAGGCCGGGTAAGCGGCCGCTGCGTTTTGGGTCGGCCCAGTGGCTCCGGACTGGAAGCCTGGCAGCGCAGCCACCCCGTCCCTCTGACCGGCCTTTTGGTTCCCTGCCACACACGTCCTGACTCCCAGCCACACTCCTGGGCCTCTAGGGAGTGGTTGGGCCGGGCCTCCCTTTGGGGAAAGCTAAGGCCGGGCCCTTTGCACAAATGACAAATTGGTGGATGCCACAGTCCGCCCATCCCAGCCCCTGGGCCTTGACTGTGTGCTGGCCAGCTCGTCTCACTCCTTTTCCTTCTCTCTAGAATTGGCTGTGAAAGGACTGAGGCAGCCATCTGGGGGTAGCGGGCACTCTTATCAGAGCGGCTGGAGCCGGACCATCGTCCCAGAGAGCTGGGGCAGGGGGCCGTGCCCAATCTCCAGGGCTCCTGGGGCCACTGCTGACCTGGTAAGGGAAACTCTGGGGCCGAGCTGGCTGGATGTACACTGGCAGCTCTGGTTTTGCCTCCAGTAAGAGCATAATTTCTTATCCCCAACTCAGGCTGGATGCATCGGGCAGTGGACCCTCCAGGGGCCCGCGCTGCACGGGAAGCCTTTGCCCTTGGGGGCCTGAGCTGTGCTGGGGCCTGGAGCTCCTGCCCGCCTCATCCCCCTCCTCGTAGCGCATGGCTGCCTGGAGGCAGGTGAGAAGTTGGGGCCCTCTGTCTCCAGGCACACCTCTTTCCATCTCTGTATCCCTCAATCTGTGTCATTCTCCATGGGTTCCTGTCATTCTGTGGGCTTCCGTGCATCAGCCCCCTCCTGCCTAGGTAGGACAAGACTGCTCCTTTTTGCCGTATATAACAGACTCCTTCTCTCTCCAGATGCTCAGCCAGCATTGGGCAGCCCCCGCTTCCTGCTCCCCTACCCCCTTCACATGGCAGTAGTTCTGGGCACCCCAGCAAACCATATTATGCTCCAGGGTGAGTGGATATTTGAAGGTTCTGGGAGTGGGAGGTAAGGCTGGGGCCTTGAAAGAGTCCCCTCAAGCCCAACCCCCACCCACACCCCCACCCCTTCTGCTCTGTAGGGCGCCCACTCCAAGACCCCTCCATGGGAAGCTGGAATCCCTGCATGGCTGTGTGCAGGCATTGCTCCGGGAGCCAGCCCAGCCAGGGCTTTGGGAACAGCTTGGGCAACTGTACGAGTCAGAGCACGATAGTGAGGAGGCCACACGCTGCTACCACAGCGCCCTTCGATACGGAGGAAGCTTCGCTGAGCTGGGGCCCCGCATTGGCCGACTGCAGCAGGTAGGAGAAGGCAGGGCGTGGGGGACGGGATTGTACGATTGTGCCTTCTGGCTCAGTGCCCCACCTGACATCTGCCCCTGCCCCGTGTCCCCCCACCCCCAGGCCCAGCTCTGGAACTTTCATACTGGCTCCTGCCAGCACCGAGCCAAGGTCCTGCCCCCACTGGAGCAAGTGTGGAACTTGCTACACCTTGAGGTGAGGCTGGCACTGGGTGGGTTAGGGAGGAGAGCCAGGCTGTGCCTGCACCCGTGCCATTTTCTCTTCTCTCTTTTTGTTCTCAGCACAAACGGAACTATGGAGCCAAGCGGGGAGGTCCCCCGGTGAAGCGAGCTGCTGAACCCCCAGTGGTGCAGCCTGTGCCTCCTGCAGCACTCTCAGGCCCCTCAGGGGAGGAGGGCCTCAGCCCTGGAGGCAAGCGAAGGAGAGGCTGCAACTCTGAACAGGTGTGGGTATAGGGGGGCCAGCAGGCAGTAAGTAGGCAGGACTTGGGAATGGGATTCTCACACTCTCTTCTCTCCTAGACTGGCCTTCCCCCAGGGCTGCCACTGCCTCCACCACCATTACCACCACCACCACCACCACCACCACCACCACCACCACCCCTGCCTGGCCTGGCTACCAGCCCCCCATTTCAGCTAACCAAGCCAGGGCTGTGGAGTACCCTGCATGGAGATGCCTGGGGCCCAGAGCGCAAGGGTTCAGCACCCCCAGAGCGCCAGGTGAGCCCCTGCCTGTTGCCTTTCACCTCTCACCTACAAGTCCCACGCTCTCTATTCCTCATCCTGCATCCCTGTTTATCTCCTATAGGAGCAGCGGCACTCGCTGCCTCACCCATATCCATACCCAGCTCCAGCGTACACCGCGCACCCCCCTGGCCACCGGCTGGTCCCGGCTGCTCCCCCAGGCCCAGGCCCCCGCCCCCCAGGAGCAGAGAGCCATGGCTGCCTGCCTGCCACCCGTCCCCCCGGAAGTGACCTTAGAGAGAGCAGAGTTCAGAGGTCGCGGATGGACTCCAGCGTTTCACCAGCAGCAACCACCGCCTGCGTGCCTTACGCCCCTTCCCGGCCCCCTGGCCTCCCCGGCACCACCACCAGCAGCAGCAGTAGCAGCAGCAGCAACACTGGTCTCCGGGGCGTGGAGCCGAACCCAGGCATTGTGAGTGACAACTGAGGGTGGAGGGGGGGATGGGTGGAGCTTGTCTTGAGGCAGCCCGAGCAATGCTCCTACCACCTGCTTCTACACTTGCAGCCCGGCGCTGACCATTACCAAACTCCCGCGCTGGAGGTCTCTCACCATGGCCGCCTGGGGCCCTCGGCACACAGCAGTCGGAAACCGTTCTTGGGGGCTCCCGCTGCCACTCCCCACCTATCCCTGCCACCTGGACCTTCCTCACCCCCTCCACCCCCCTGTCCCCGCCTCTTACGCCCCCCACCACCCCCTGCCTGGTTGAAGGGTCCGGCCTGCCGGGCAGCCCGAGAGGATGGAGAGATCTTAGAAGAGCTCTTCTTTGGGACTGAGGGACCCCCCCGCCCTGCCCCACCACCCCTCCCCCATCGCGAGGGCTTCTTGGGGCCTCCGGCCTCCCGCTTTTCTGTGGGCACTCAGGATTCTCACACCCCTCCCACTCCCCCAACCCCAACCACCAGCAGTAGCAACAGCAACAGTGGCAGCCACAGCAGCAGCCCTGCTGGGCCTGTGTCCTTTCCCCCACCACCCTATCTGGCCAGAAGTATAGACCCCCTTCCCCGGCCTCCCAGCCCAGCACAGAACCCCCAGGACCCACCTCTTGTACCCCTGACTCTTGCCCTGCCTCCAGCCCCTCCTTCCTCCTGCCACCAAAATACCTCAGGAAGCTTCAGGCGCCCGGAGAGCCCCCGGCCCAGGGTCTCCTTCCCAAAGACCCCCGAGGTGGGGCCGGGGCCACCCCCAGGCCCCCTGAGTAAAGCCCCCCAGCCTGTGCCGCCCGGGGTTGGGGAGCTGCCTGCCCGAGGCCCTCGACTCTTTGATTTTCCCCCCACTCCGCTGGAGGACCAGTTTGAGGAGCCAGCCGAATTCAAGATCCTACCTGATGGGCTGGCCAACATCATGAAGATGCTGGACGAATCCATTCGCAAGGAAGAGGAACAGCAACAACACGAAGCAGGCGTGGCCCCCCAACCCCCGCTGAAGGAGCCCTTTGCATCTCTGCAGTCTCCTTTCCCCACCGACACAGCCCCCACCACTACTGCTCCTGCTGTCGCCGTCACCACCACCACCACCACCACCACCACCACCACGGCCACCCAGGAAGAGGAGAAGAAGCCACCACCAGCCCTACCACCACCACCGCCTCTAGCCAAGTTCCCTCCACCCTCTCAGCCACAGCCACCACCACCCCCACCCCCCAGCCCGGCCAGCCTGCTCAAATCCTTGGCCTCCGTGCTGGAGGGACAAAAGTACTGTTATCGGGGGACTGGAGCAGCTGTTTCCACCCGGCCTGGGCCCTTGCCCACCACTCAGTATTCCCCTGGCCCCCCATCAGGTGCTACCGCCCTGCCGCCCACCTCAGCGGCCCCTAGCGCCCAGGGCTCCCCACAGCCCTCTGCTTCCTCGTCATCTCAGTTCTCTACCTCAGGCGGGCCCTGGGCCCGGGAGCGCAGGGCGGGCGAAGAGCCAGTCCCGGGCCCCATGACCCCCACCCAACCGCCCCCACCCCTATCTCTGCCCCCTGCTCGCTCTGAGTCTGAGGTGCTAGAAGAGATCAGCCGGGCTTGCGAGACCCTTGTGGAGCGGGTGGGCCGGAGTGCCACTGACCCAGCCGACCCAGTGGACACAGCAGAGCCAGCGGACAGTGGGACTGAGCGACTGCTGCCCCCCGCACAGGCCAAGGAGGAGGCTGGCGGGGTGGCGGCAGTGTCAGGCAGCTGTAAGCGGCGACAGAAGGAGCATCAGAAGGAGCATCGGCGGCACAGGCGGGCCTGTAAGGACAGTGTGGGTCGTCGGCCCCGTGAGGGCAGGGCAAAGGCCAAGGCCAAGGTCCCCAAAGAAAAGAGCCGCCGGGTGCTGGGGAACCTGGACCTGCAGAGCGAGGAGATCCAGGGTCGTGAGAAGTCCCGGCCCGATCTTGGCGGGGCCTCCAAGGCCAAGCCACCCACAGCTCCAGCCCCTCCATCAGCTCCTGCACCTTCTGCCCAGCCCACACCCCCGTCAGCCTCTGTCCCTGGAAAGAAGGCTCGGGAGGAAGCCCCAGGGCCACCGGGTGTCAGCCGGGCCGACATGCTGAAGCTGCGCTCACTTAGTGAGGGGCCCCCCAAGGAGCTGAAGATCCGGCTCATCAAGGTAGAGAGTGGTGACAAGGAGACCTTTATCGCCTCTGAGGTGGAAGAGCGGCGGCTGCGCATGGCAGACCTCACCATCAGCCACTGTGCTGCTGACGTCGTGCGCGCCAGCAGGTGAGTCGGCTGCCTGCTTGCTTGTCCCGGAGACAGGCTCCCTTCCCCCATCACCCTGATGTTTCTGTCTTCATTCCACTGTCCTCCCGCAGGAATGCCAAGGTGAAAGGGAAGTTTCGAGAGTCCTACCTTTCCCCTGCCCAGTCTGTGAAACCGAAGATCAACACTGAGGAGAAGCTGCCCCGGGAAAAACTCAACCCCCCTACACCCAGCATCTATGTATGTGTGCCACTTGGCCTCAGAACCACCCCTGCCAGAGGGTTCTAAGACAGTGTTGGGGACTGCTGGGGTGCTCTGAGCCTGGGCCAGGGCTCTGACCCCAGCTCTCCTGGTCATGTCTCAGCTGGAGAGCAAACGGGATGCCTTCTCACCTGTCCTGCTGCAGTTCTGTACAGACCCTCGAAATCCCATCACAGTGATCCGGGGCCTGGCGGGCTCCCTGCGGCTCAGTGAGTATGGGGGGCAGAAAGTGTTAGGGAGGGCTACAAGGGTCTGGGGCATGTAGGACCCTCTGAGAAATCCCACACTTGAAGACTCATGACAGTGGCCGTGAGGAGTCCACTGAGTGATGGGTCTGCTGGCCTTGGGCTCTTCTCCCATCTGTCTGTCTCCAGCATTTGGCAAGGGAGAAGGGGCCATAGTCAGGGCCTGATTAGTCATTTCTGAATTTTTTGGTGATTAAGGAAGAGAATAATACAGATTTTAGAAAACCCCTGAAAATCTGTGATGTTGGGGCTCTCTCTCAGTCTTTTATTGCGCAGAATTTCAAACACATACAAAATTAGAGAAAGCTGTATAGAAATACAAAGGTCAATCTTGTCTCCTTTATACCTGTATGTTCTCCCTTCCCCACACTGAGTTATTTGAAGCACATTTCAGGCTTTCACTTGACTGAATCTTTAATCTTTAATTGGATCCAATGGTAACTCAAAGAAGCTGCTGTTTTGACTAGACTCCAAATGGGGAAAAAAGAAGCTGCCATTCATTGAGCACCTACTATGTGTCTGTCAGGTGCGGTGCACATGGCCACGCACACATCTGGGAACACTGGTCTAGGGGCTGAGTCCTTGAGCAGCTGCAGGAGAAAGAGGGCTGGTGAGGATGCAGATAGAGGCCAGCACTCCCAGCTTCCTGTGGGGCTAGGGCTCCTGCCTATTTCTTCTGGGCTGAGCTCTGCTAAACCTATGACCACCCTGTCAGAGCCAGAGGAGTAGGAAGGGAAAGGGTCGATTGGGTCCTCGGTCCCTATCCTCTGCCTCTGCCCCGACACCCTGCTCGGCCCTCCCTTCCAGACTTGGGCCTCTTCTCCACCAAGACCCTGGTGGAAGCGAGTGGCGAACACACCGTGGAAGTTCGCACCCAGGTGCAGCAGCCCTCAGATGAGAACTGGGATCTGACAGGCACTCGGCAGATCTGGCCTTGTGAGAGCTCCCGTTCCCACACCACCATTGCCAAGTACGCACAGTACCAGGCCTCATCCTTCCAGGAGTCTCTGCAGGTGAGATGAGAACGTGGCCAGAGGCAGGTCCTGGGACGGGGCTGCGGTGGGAGGGCTCTCGAAAGGTCTCTGACCCAGGCCTGCCTACCCTCTGGCTGAACAGGAGGAGAAGGAGAGTGAGGATGAGGAGTCAGAGGAGCCAGACAGCACCACTGGAACCCCTCCTAGGTACTGTGCAGGTGTGCCCCTTCTGTTCCTGCTTCCTTCCCCTCCCTCTGCTCTCCACCAACCTGTGCTCTTCGCCCCAGCAGCAGCGCACCAGACCCGAAGAACCATCACATCATCAAGTTTGGCACCAACATCGACTTGTCTGATGCTAAGCGGTCAGTGGGGCTGAGGCCAGGGAAGTTGGGGCAGGAGTGCTGCTAGGACCTCGTGGCGGGGGCGGGGTGTAGCCTCTCGTCGCACTTCCGCACCGCAGGTGGAAGCCCCAGCTGCAGGAGCTGCTGAAGCTGCCCGCCTTCATGCGGGTAACATCCACGGGCAACATGCTGAGCCACGTGGGCCACACCATCCTGGGCATGAACACGGTGCAGCTGTACATGAAGGTGCCCGGCAGCCGAACGCCAGGTGCGCTCCACGCCTGTGCGCGCTGATGCTGGAAGCGCGAGAGGAGGGGCTGGCGGCGGCGCTCAGCCGTCAGCCAATGAGGGCAGAGGGCGGGGCTATCGGGGATCGCAGTTCCGACCTGGCCAGCCATGCCGTTCTCTGTCGACCCCTGCAGGCCACCAGGAGAATAACAACTTCTGCTCCGTCAACATCAACATTGGCCCAGGCGACTGCGAGTGGTTCGCGGTGCACGAGCACTACTGGGAGACCATCAGCGCTTTCTGTGATCGGTGCGTGCCGTCCTGCGCAAGTCAGACTGCCGCGTCCCCGCCCTCGGTCCCCAGTTCCCACCTGACCTGTGGCCACCCCGCAGGCACGGCGTGGACTACTTGACGGGTTCCTGGTGGCCAATCCTGGATGATCTCTATGCATCCAATATTCCTGTGTACCGCTTCGTGCAGCGACCCGGAGACCTCGTGTGGATTAATGCGGGGACTGTGCACTGGGTGCAGGCCACCGGCTGGTGCAACAACATTGCCTGGAACGTGGGGCCCCTCACCGGTGAGAGGGTGGGGCAGGTGTTGGCGTGGTGTGGCGCCTCAGCGGCAAGGGCCTGGGAGGCTGGGGCTTGGAGAGCCGCCAGCAGTGAGGGAAGGGGCTTGGGCCTAGGTGTCTGGGGGCTGTTTGAGAGTCCTGTTGTGATCGCCTTTGGCCCGCAGCCTATCAGTACCAGCTGGCCCTGGAACGATACGAGTGGAATGAGGTGAAGAACGTCAAATCCATCGTGCCCATGATTCACGTGTCATGGAACGTGGCTCGCACGGTCAAAATCAGCGACCCCGACTTGTTCAAGATGATCAAGTGAGGACCCTATTTGGGTGGGAGCCCACCTCCACTGACTGGTCCCTTTTCTTGTTCTTCCTGTCTGACTCCACCCCATTTTTACCTCTCTCCATCCTTGTCTGCCTGTGCCCCGAGTGTTACTGTGTTGGGGAGGCTAACTAGGTCCTTGCTGTCATGACCTTTTCTAGTGGTCCAAATAGACAAAAGCCACAGGAAACTTCGCCTATAACAGATGCCCAGGACAGAGGATGTGACCTAGACATGAAGCGGGGAGGCCCCTAGGGGAGGGCCCTGGGGCTGCCCACCCCTCTGCCCTTGCTCCAGCCCTGCCTCAGGCCTCCTCCTTGCCGGTGGTCTCAACACAACCCCACTGCTCCCCAGGTTCTGCCTGCTGCAGTCCATGAAGCACTGCCAGGTGCAACGCGAGAGCCTGGTGCGGGCAGGGAAGAAAATCGCTTACCAGGGCCGTGTCAAGGACGAGCCAGCCTACTACTGCAACGAGTGCGATGTGAGTGGGCCGGCTCTGCTGCTCTCCCTGAGTGTCCACAGTGGCCCTCCCTCCCCCTGACTGCACTGTCCTCCCTGCCCCAGGTGGAGGTGTTTAACATCCTGTTCGTGACAAGTGAGAATGGCAGCCGCAACACGTACCTGGTACACTGCGAGGGCTGTGCCCGGCGCCGCAGCGCAGGCCTGCAGGGCGTGGTGGTGCTGGAGCAGTACCGCACTGAGGAGCTGGCTCAGGCCTACGACGCCTTCACGCTGGTGAGGGCCCGGCGGGCGCGCGGGCAGCGGAGGAGGGCACTGGGGCAGGCTGCAGGGACGGGCTTCGGGAGCCCGGCCGCGCCTTTCCCTGAGCCCCCGCCGGCTTTCTCCCCCCAGGCCCCAGCCAGCACGTCGCGATGAGGCCGGACGCCCCGCCCGCCTGCCTGCCCGCGCAAGGCGCCGCGGGGCCACCAGCACATGCCTGGGCTGGACCTAGGTCCCGCCTGTGGCCGAGAAGGGGGTCGGGCCCAGCCCTTCCACCCCATTGGCAGCTCCCCTCACTTAATTTATTAAGAAAAACTTTTTTTTTTTTTTTAGCAAATATGAGGAAAAAAGGAAAAAAAATGGGAGACGGGGGAGGGGGCTGGCAGCCCCTCGCCCACCAGCGCCTCCCCTCACCGACTTTGGCCTTTTTAGCAACAGACACAAGGACCAGGCTCCGGCGGCGGCGGGGGTCACATACGGGTTCCCTCACCCTGCCAGCCGCCCGCCCGCCCGGCGCAGATGCACGCGGCTCGTGTATGTACATAGACGTTACGGCAGCCGAGGTTTTTAATGAGATTCTTTCTATGGGCTTTACCCCTCCCCCGGAACCTCCTTTTTTACTTCCAATGCTAGCTGTGACCCCTGTACATGTCTCTTTATTCACTTGGTTATGATTTGTATTTTTTGTTCTTTTCTTGTTTTTTTGTTTTTAATTTATAACAGTCCCACTCACCTCTATTTATTCATTTTTGGGAAAACCCGACCTCCCACACCCCCAAGCCATCCTGCCCGCCCCTCCAGGGACCGCCCGTCGCCGGGCTCTCCCCGCGCCCCAGTGTGTGTCCGGGCCCGGCCCGACCGTCTCCACCCGTCCGCCCGCGGCTCCAGCCGGGTTCTCATGGTGCTCAAACCCGCTCCCCTCCCCTACGTCCTGCACTTTCTCGGACCAGTCCCCCCACTCCCGACCCGACCCCAGCCCCACCTGAGGGTGAGCAACTCCTGTACTGTAGGGGAAGAAGTGGGAACTGAAATGGTATTTTGTAAAAAAAATAAATAAAATAAAAAAATTAAAGGTTTTAAAGAAAGAACTATGAGGAAAAGGAACCCCGTCCTTCCCAGCCCCGGCCAACTTTAAAAAACACAGACCTTCACCCCCACCCCCTTTTCTTTTTAAGTGTGAAACAACCCAGGGCCAGGGCCTCACTGGGGCAGGGACACCCCGGGGTGAGTTTCTCTGGGGCTTTATTTTCGTTTTGTTGGTTGTTTTTTCTCCACGCTGGGGCTGCGGAGGGGTGGGGGGTTTACAGTCCCGCACCCTCGCACTGCACTGTCTCTCTGCCCCAGGGGCAGAGGGGTCTTCCCAACCCTACCCCTATTTTCGGTGATTTTTGTGTGAGAATATTAATATTAAAAATAAACGGAGAAAAAAAATCCTGTTTCGCTAACGGCTGGTGGTAGCAGGTTGAGTACCGGGAGGGCTGCAAGACCGTGATTGATGGGGAGGACTGCGCAGACCCTGGCGAGGGTGAGCCCCTCCCCGGAGGCGCCTGTGGAATGTCCAGGGCTCTGGTCCGCTCCTCGGGATGGGGGGTGCCTAATCCTAGAGCCGCATTCCAGGATAAGGGGGGTGGGGAGAGGCTGGGCCGGGGGAGGGGCAGGAAAGAGGGCTATAAGGGCAGCGGCCCAGGCGGGCGGGATCCAGGCGGGCCATGGCGGATGTCCCCGGGGCACAGCGAGCGGTTCCTGGTGACGGCCCAGAGCCCCGGGACCCCCTGGACTGTTGGGCCTGCGCTGTTCTTGTAACAGCCCAGAATCTGCTGGTGGCTGCCTTCAATCTTCTCCTGCTGGTGCTGGTGCTAGGGACCATCTTGCTACCCGCTGTCACCATGCTGGGCTTCGGCTTCCTCTGCCACTCTCAGGTGAGCGTGCGCCCCGGGGTGTGCGTGTGAGTGTGAGTGTTGGTGTGTGGTGATGCTGGCGGTGGGGTCTATGGGCCACAACTTCAACCCGCCTGGGCTGTTTCCACCCCGTGCACAGTATCGCCTGGTCGGCTTGGGCCTGACGCCTCTTCTCCCACAGTTCCTGCGCTCCCAGGCACCCCCTTGCACCGCGCACCTGCGGGACCCCGGTTTCACGGCCCTACTGGTCACCGGATTCCTGCTCCTCGTGCCGCTGCTCGTGCTTGCTCTGGCCAGCTACCGCCGCCTCTGCCTGCGCCTCCGCCTAGCCGATTGCCTCGTGCCCTACAGCCGAGCCCTTTATCGGCGTCGGCGCGCCCCGCAGCCGCGGCAAATCCGGGCCTCACCAGGGTCCCAGGCCGTTCCCACATCAGGAAAGGTCTGGGTCTAATGACCCTCGAGTCAAGAACAACCCTGACGGCTGCCCTCCCTCTTATTCGGCCCAAGGACTTGAAGCCCGGCATCTTCCGACCTGCCCTGCCCCCACCCCTGCCTGAGCGGAGTCCTAGCATCCCCTTGGGAGCAGCAGCGTCAGTGGACCCAGTGCTGAGAAAAGCCCCCACATCCCGGAAAACCCACTTTCCTTTCACGACCCACATCTCAATCCTGAACATCTAGGCTGGAACCTGCACACCTCCCCCTCAGCTCCGTCGTGAATGGGACAACAATCTCGTGCCCTCGTTTTATGGTGCAGCTTCTCTAGTATTTCTGGGGCTGGGGGGCGGGGCTGGAGGGGAAGGAGTGTCCACGCATCAATAAAGATTTAACGAACTGAACGCGCTCTGCGAACAGAGGCGTGGCACAAGTACTATCACCCCTGCCCTGTGCCGAGGAACAGGAAACATGTGCCAGGGCTACAAATGAGCAGAGAGGAGCATCCTTGAGCCCCCTGGCCTTATCGCTTTTGTCCGTTCTTCCTGGCCAGACCTCAGAGATCTGTTCCTGACCCCAGGCACCTCCCCCTCAATAGAGTGGAGGGGCCCAGCCTCGGCCGCCTGCCGCTGCTCCCCTTGGGGACCTGAGCCCGTTCTCTGACCCCAGCTTAGAGGAACTCGGTGTTGCCAGGCCGGGGTGGGAAACAATGGGCCTTCCGGAGCAGGATGACACCCCCTCCCGCCACAATTCTGGAGCAGCAGCCGTGGGAGGGAAGATGCAGGGGCCCACCCTGGGGCCTGTTGGTCCGTCATTCAGCCCTGCCCCCCATCTCTACCCCTGAACTTGAGAGAACCTTTGGCACCCCTGGACATCTTGGTTGGGAGAGGAGGGTTGAGGGTGCTCCCGACTTCAGATGAGCCCTTTCCTCTAGGGATGGGGTGTGCTATCCTGCACCGGCATCCCAGCTACACACAGACACAGGCCCATTCGGTCATAAGTTTAATGAAGTCTGAAAGGTAAGCGCCATCGTGGTCAGAGATACGGAGGCCCGGTCAGACTCTCCCTCTGCACCTCAATGGAAACGATGTGGTGTCCGGGTACCATGGCCAGGCCCAGCACACGGGGCTCCCCGGCAGAGAAGGAATCTGGAAAGAAGGATCAGAGCATCAGGAAAGTAGGCCAGAATCAGTCCCGCCCCTCTGAGCCACGAAAACGAGCCCCAGAAAACAAGGGTTGCAGCCAGGCCCTTAAGGGGAAATGCCTTGCGTAAGGTTCCGCCACATTACCAGGCGGGTGTGCATTCCCCGGGCACTGACCCGACGGCTTGAGGAACTCCTGCGCCGAGCCCAGGATGACATTGCAGTCACGGTCAGTGCAGAGGAAGCAGCCGACCAGTGTCCGTCCATCTGTCATGCGAATGCGCATAGTCTTGTTGAGCAGCGCCTCTAGCTGCTGTCGGGCGCGCTCAGCCGCCGAGTCCTCGCGCTCTCCGTCCGAATCCTGCGCGGGGTGTAACAAGCGCTCAGACCGCGCAGCCCAGGCTGCCCGCCCGCGGAACCACAGCTCCCGGCAGCCCGCGGGGCACTCACACAAAGCCCAGAGGCTGCCGGGAGCTGCAGTTCCCCACCCCCTCCATCTTGCTGCTTGACTGCCCCTCAGTCCCAGAACCAGAGCCCGTGCTAACCCCAGCACTGGAGCTGCTCTGACGCCGACTGCAACAGCCATTCTCTTCTCGTAGCAGCATGGTCGGTCCAGCTCCGGCCATTTGCCCGGAGGCCTCCTCTGGGCCTTTCAACTTCCTAAGCACCTTTCAGGTTGGGTGGTCCGAGATCTCGCGAGCGCTCCCGACCTCTTTCCTTTCGCGAGATCCCCTCTCCTCCCCCTCCTAGTCTCCTCGGCAACGGCACAGATCTCGCGAGCTTCTCCTACTTCTCTAGCGCTGTGGCTCACTGAAGCGTACTACGCCGGATGTCTTAAGATATCGCGAGACCTTTACCTCTGGTTTCTTACACATCCTTTAGAAACTGGAATTTAGCGAGAATACATTCTTTCATACTGCCTCCTCCCTTGTTTTTCTGTCTCAGAGAGATAGTCTGTCCTAAATATCCCATGTAGCCCAGGCCACTGAATTAAAACGGAGCGTATTCGTTCTCTGCCCCACCCCGCAACTCCTGAAAGCGGCGCAACTCAATTACTTGATCCTTATATGCCCCACGCGGGACTCATACTACGTTTCCCGTGAACACGTGCAGTCCAAACCCCGCCCCTGATATTTATCTCAGTGGACGGTGGCCGGAAAAGGACAATGGTTTCCATGTCAGCGGATAAACGCTCTCCCCTCGGCTCCCGGACGCGACGGAGGTCGTAGTAGTAGTGAGTACGTGCTGAGGAGCAAAGGAGTAACCAAGAGATCCAGTGACCGACAGAGCAAGAGCCATGCCGCGCCGGGGCCTGGTGGCTGGGCCAGACTTGGAGTATTTTCAGCGTCGCTATTTCACGCCGGCGGAGGTGGCCCAACATAACAGGCCCGAAGACCTCTGGGTATCTTACCTGGGACGCGTGTACGACCTAACGTCATTGGCACAGGAATACAAGGGTAAGGGCCACACGTTGGGCCGGGGCCGGAGTGTGTGTGTGTGCACGCGCGCGTTTGCCTGGTTCTCGAAGGGCTGGCATTGACAGTGGCTGTGCTGCTCTTTTCAAGGGAACCTGCTGCTGAAACCCATCGTGGAAGTTGCAGGCCAGGATATCAGCCACTGGTTTGATCCAAAGACCAGAGACGTGAGTTATGCTGGAACCTGGGATTGTGGGTAGAGGAAATGGAGAGCGGGGATGGGAAGGAAAGGCGGAGGCTAGCCAGAGCCTAATGGCTGCTCTGACACCCTCGCCCCAAACCCTCCTTTAAAGATCCGCAAGCACATAGATCCGCTGACCGGCTGCCTGAGGTACTGCACCCCGCGGGGCCGCTTTGTGCACGTTCCGCCTCAGCTGCCCTGTTCGGACTGGGCCAACGATTTTGGGAAGCCCTGGTGGCAGGGGTCGTATTATGAGGTGGGGCGGCTGTCTGCCAAGACCCGGAGCATCCGCATCATTAACACGCTCACGTCGCAGGAGCACACACTGGAGGTGAGAACTGGTGACAAGGAGCAGGTTAGAAGGAATGGGGAATCCCAGCAAATCTCCAGGCCGATCTTCAGGGCAACATTTTTTCCATAACCGGTGGGAGTGTATTTTCTGTCCTTTACATTGAGGCAACTGAGGAAAGCACAGCACCTAGGTCCCCAGGGTTGGGAATTCTAGGAGTGTCTGGGTCACAGGGGGACAAGAGACTCCTTTATAAGCCTGGGAACAGCAGTTCATGTATCTTAGTGATGGTGGTCCTTCGAAGCTCTTACACGCCGTTTTGGACAGCAATTGGACTTTCTTTTTAATCTACTCTGTTGCATGGATATAGTGAGGGGACAGTTGACCCTTTATGGCCATCCGGTAGTTAGAAGTGGCTGCCATTAAGATCTGTAGGACTTTAGGGTCTGCTCATTGCATGCTGGAGTTTCAGCTTTTTTTTCCCGGGGCCGTAGAGTACCTGAAGCTGCTATCTGCCAAGGGAGGCACTTTGATCCCAGCGTGTGTATATGTATACTCCATCCAGAATTCTGGGGGTGGGGTGCTTCTGTGTTCTCCAGGTGGGGGTTCTGGAGTCCATATGGGAAATCCTACACCGCTATCTCCCCTATAACTCACATGCTGCCAGCTACACGTGGAAATATGAAGGGAAGAACCTGAACATGGATTTTACCCTGGAAGAGAATGGGATCCGGGATGAGGAGGAAGAATTTGACTATCTCAGTATGGACGGTACACTTCACACACCTGCAATACTTCTGTACTTCAATGATGATCTCACGGAGTTGTAGGCAAGGAGATGTACACTCGTGTAGACTCAAGACGTATTTCGAGTTTGGCTTTTTCTGTGCCTTGAGGAAAAGTGGTGGGGCCGAGGGGTGCCTGGACCCAGATCTCCACTCCTCTCCAGGAGCTAGCCTGTGCCCTTCTGAAGTGTAAAGGCCCTATTCCCTGCCTTCATTACAGTTTGCTCTGAGAAAATTAGTGAATTAATCTTTGGGAATGATACAAGAAGATCAAGTACCTTGGTTTAGGGAGATGTAGAAGAGGATAGTCAGAGTTCAGGCAGAACTGTTTGATAGTTAAGAGAGAGTAGTTCTACAGGGGTGAGGGATGGAAGGACTTTTTTGGCAATGATGGAAATGAGATGTCTGCAGGAAGATGGGATTTACAAAGAAATAGGAAATGTTTATCATTGACCATACAAAGCTGGCTTATCTTACTTGTAGAAGAGTGTTTGGCAGCTGAAACCCAAGGGAAAGAAAGGAAGTGCGTCATTATAGGCAATTCAGGCTAGATATTATACTAGGTACTTCATATACCCTCTTTTTTTTTTTTGCCCCCAACAAAGAGAAGGGGTCTTGCTCTGTCACCCAGTCTGGAGTGCAGTGGCAAAATCATGGCTCACTGCAGCCTGGAGCTCCTGGGCACAAGTGATCCTCCCATCTCTGCCTTGAGTAGCTGGGACTTCAGGTGCACGCCACAATGCCTAATTTTTTAATTTTTTGTAGACACAGGGTCTCGCTGTGTTGCCCAGGCTGGTTTCAACCTCCTGGCCTCAAGTGATCCTCTTGCCTCAGCCTCCCAAATAGCCTCTTCAAGACAACTACCCCATAAGGTGGATTACCATTACTATGTTACAGATAAGTCCTTCGAAACTTTGGAAAGTTTAATAGCTCAAAGCCACACTAGGTAGTAACCACTAGAGCCAGAATGCAAATTCAAGTCTGCCCAACTCCAAAGTCCATGTTCTCTCAATATAAAGGGACCATCTCAATGTCTAATCTCATGTTAACATTTGTAGCCACTGCTCTCAGCAAGTATTTGGGATGTGGCTTTGTCCTAGGATCCCTGCACAATAGGAAATTGTGGTCCTATTGTATAGTTTGCAGTTATTGTCTCTGGAAGGGAGTTTGCAGAGTTCTCCTGTGGCGAAGAGGAGGCAAGGAAGGCTAAGTGTCAGTTAAGCAATAGCTATTGGGGCTACTTCTTTGTTAATCCCATACCCCAGATTTCTCTCCTGACCTTTTGGGGCAAAGAGGTGGGTATTTACTAACTTGAAGGAAAACTAGAGTGGGGAAAAGGCCGGCAAATTAGTGACACTTTGGCGAGGGAGAAAAAGGAGGCAGTTTGCCACTTGGAGAAGATGAGGAAGACAGGGTTGCAAGACGGTGACTCCAAAAGAGGGAGCTCGACAGGGGTAATGTAAACAGAGATGCTAACTAAGTCAGAAAACTCTCCTGGTGACCAAAAGAGAACCACTATTGGGGGTAATGGCTAGATTTGGTCTCCTTTAACTTAAGGAGGGGAGATTTGAGAATGACAGACAGTTGAACTTCCTGGCAGCAGCAAGCAAAAAACAAATCAGGAAGAGTTTAGTGTGTCTTCTGGCAGGGGACACCAGGGCCCAGCACAGGAGAAGGTGGCCCCTGTGAGATACTGGTGGGCTATATAGGCATTTTCTGAGGGGCTTTGGGAGGCATGAACAAAGGTGGAAACATTGCTGTTGGCTTCGGCAGTATCTGAATTTACTGTGAGATGGAGGGTTTAAATCTAACCCCATGGAATGCAGGAGTCCATGAATTATCTAAATCGATCATTTTGATCTTTAATCAACTCTGCAATTATGTGTACCTTGTTTGCTCAATTAAACCCTGAACTATTTGAGAATGAAAGCTATGCTGTTCCTCTAGTGCAAGCCTCAGGGCCTGTCCTGTGCCTACAGGATGTCCCCATTCTGCCAAAACCTGTCCCTCTTCCAGAGACTCCTACTTCAATGTCTCTTGCTAGAAACACATCCCTTTCCTCACACATCCAGTCACTCATCAAGTGTAATCTGTCTCCTAAATATCTCTGGAACCTATCTTCTTTTCTCCAAGTTACCATCACCTCTTGTCTAAACTGCTACGGAAACTTCCTAACCTGTTCTCCCATTTCCACTTCTGACTTCCATGCTGCAATGAGAGTCAGCTATGAAAAACAAACCTAAACATCGAACTTTCCTTAGCTTCTTCAGTGGCTTCCAACTGCTTTTGGAATAAAGTCCTAAATTCAAAGATCTTGTATAAATCAGGCTCATCTCGCAACACCCCTCTTTGTTCTCTATGGCCTAGACACACTGGCTTTCAGTTCATTACATGTCTTGCCTCAGACCCTCACACACTGTCCTCTCTGCCTGCAACACTCTTCCTTTCACTTTCCACCTAGCTGATCCTAAATGTTCCTTCCTCAGGGAGGTCTTTTCTGATTTCTTGGTGGGTCAAGACTTTCTGATAAATCAGTTAGCACCATGCATTTTCCAGAGTTTTTATTACAATTGTAAAATTATGGCTGTAATAGGCTGGCTGCGCTGCTAGATTGTAAGCTCACGAGGGCAGAGATCTTGTTCACATCTTGCTCACTGCTATATTCTCATTGCTGAGCACACAGTTGCAGCTCAATAAATTTTGAATGAACTCCAATGTTAAGTGAACTCATCCGTCTATACCTAGTGGGGGGGATGTTGTGTCCTAGTAGGCAAGGAAGGACCAAGAAATAGGATGTCTGGTTCCTGTGCTATAGTCTCTATCCATAGGATTCACTTTCCTTGCTTCCCCAATATCCAAAACCAAAAGTTATTCCATAGAGGGTCTCTGGCCAGGTGCAGTGACTCACGCCTGTAATCCCAGAACTTTGGGAGGCCGAGGCATGGGGATCACCTGAGGTCAGGAGTTCAAGACCAGCCTGGCCAACCTGGCAAAAGCCTGTTTCTACTAAAAATCCAAAAAATTAGCCGGGCGTGGTGGCACACACCTATAATCCCAGCTACTTGGGAGGCTGAGGCAGGAGAATCGCTTGAACCCGGGAGATGGAGGTTGCATTGAGCTGAGATAGTGCCATTGCACTCCAGCCTGGGCAACAAGAACGAAACTCCATCTAAAAAAAAAAAAAAAAAAGTTAAAAAAAAAAAAGAGGGTCTCACCAGATTTTTGGGGGCCAATCCATCTGTCATTTCCCCATATGGCCACCAGGTGGCTGTAATTACCTATAGAGTCAGGGAGACAAGCCTGGAGGGAAAACCCTTCCAAAGTTAGGATGGGAAGGTGGCCTTTGGAGATTTATAAGGGGGAGGGAAGGACAAGAAAACAAGGAAAAACCACATGGCCACCGTTCTATTAGCATTAGGTTTATGCCTGCTTTTTTTTCTCTCACAAGCACATGGCAGGAAAGGAGTGCAGTTAGGAATTCATGGGCTAGAACAAAAAGGAGGTCCTGATTACAGGTATGGGAGTGTATGGGGCAAAGTATGGAGCTGACAAAGGGATAAAGACATCACAAATTTTTAAAATAATAGAATGCATTCACTTATTAATACTTAAAAAAAATCTTTCCAGTAGGCACTGCTTTGTTCTCTAAATAGCCAAGTGGATATTTGCATGAGGAGTATGTAAATAATGCTTTAGCCTAAAACCCAGAAAGCAAACAGAACATGAGTGTAGGGTCCAAGTCCTCTTGTGGTAATCTCTTTTGTGTTAGAGGGTGGTGGGTGAAGGATGGAATGCTGAAGGGAAGGCTGCCGTCCTCAGTGAATCACAGCAGCTTCAAAGGACTCAACTGGCAAGATTTCCCACAGGTGAGGTCCCTACATGCCCACATTACTGGGGGTCATAAAGAGGCATATGTTCCTTGTAGGAAGCTTGCCTGCTCACTGGGATAAAGCATGCACACATGAAAAGATAAATGAACATAGTACATGATAAAGGCTTAAGTTATGGTATAGAAAAGTTTCTACCCTTACAGCAAGTCACAGGTGGATTACTAACCTGGCCATCCTGAAACTGTTTCTAAATACTCTGTGTGTGTGTGTCTGTGGATGTGTATTATTTTTGGAAAATGGTGCTATAATTTCCATCAGATTCTCCAAATAGCCCAACCCCCTACTCCTACTCCTGAAATAGCACGCACACACACACATACACAACAATACTTTAAACAGCCTCAAAAGTAAAATATCAAAAGTTATAATACAATGTGGTCCCAATATTCTGGCATCTGTCTCAATGGTCTGCCTCAGCCTGTGGCAGAACCATGGCAACCCATGGCAGAAATTCCTAAAGCTCTAACCTTTGGGGCTAAATTTATGACGAGTCTCAAGTGTTTTACTACTGTACCAAATGTTAATCTGGCTGTACCTTGGAGCTGAGTAAAGGGATCCATCATTTGGTCTTGATACTATAACATCCAATCATACATCACGATAAGGTTAATGCATCCAGCACCACAGCTAAGTTTAGGGAGGCCACATGGATGGGCTGCTGTTGGGAGAACAGCCACTTGATCATGGGTCAGTAGAGTACACGGTTTGGCTGTAAGAATGCACACAGAATTAGAAACCTGACTGATCTTTATCCTGGAAGCCAAAGATTAAGGATTCAAAAATACAAATGGATATGCACCCCAAGTACTAGGTATTCTAGGCACACCGGAAGCACTAAAAAGAAAAACCCAAAAAGCTGGTGAATGAATAAGTGAAGTGAATCCATCAAAGTGGGAATGGGAGTAAAGGCTTAAGTGCAGTGGTGTGATCATAGCTCACTGTAACCTCAAACTCCCGAGCTCAGACAATGCTCCTGCCTCAGAGTAGCACCACCATACCTGGCTAATTCTTTATTTTTTTGTAGAGACAGGGTCTTCCTATGTTGCCCAAGCCGGTCTCAAACTCCTCGCCTCAAGCAATCCTCCTGCCTAGGCCTCCCAAAGTGTTGGGATTATAAGTATGAGTCACCGTGCCTGGCCAATATTTTAAATAATTGTGTGCCTGGACTGGGTGTGGCAGCTCACGCCTGTAATCCCAGCACTTTGGGAGGCAGAAGGATCACTTGAGGCCAGGAGTTCAAGATAAGCCTGGCCAACACAGTGAAACCCTGTCTTTACTAAAAATACAAAAATTAGCCAGGTGTGGTGGCAAGTGCCTATAATCTCAGCTACTCGGGAGGCTGAGGCAAAATGGCTTCAAACCAGGAGGCGGAGGCTGCAGTGAGCCAAGATCACGCCACTGCACTCCAGCCTGGGCAACAGAGTGAGACTCCATCTCAAAAAAAAAAAAAAAAATTATGTGCATGAAGCAAAGTTTGTGTTAGGTACTTGTGTGTAGAATTTTCTACTTGTGGTATCATGTAGGCATGTAAAAGTTTCCGATTTAGGAGCATTTTGGGTGTTTGATTAGGGATGCTCAACCTGTACATACACATACCTATATATAAACATATTATGAATAGAGTGAAAGTACTATAAAGACACACAGAATCACGAGAGCGATGGCTGAATGATCAGAGGCATGTCTGAGGAGATGCTCACATGACTCATCTGTATTACCTGTAGAGCTGCATTTACCAACATTAATCCTCCCAACAAACTTAAGGCATAGGTACGATTTTTATTTATACTGAAAAACAACACTGAAGCAGAGAGAGATTAAGTAACTTGCCAAAAGTCATACAACTAATGAGTACCAAGGTAGTCATAGCCCATCCAACTAACATACCGCCTCCCTGCATGTCAAACATAGGATGCTATTCTAGTTACCTACCACTGCTGTATTTTGCCAATGAATCTGCAATATGGGTAGGGCTCAGCAGGGACAGCTCACTTCTACTCCCAAAGGGGTGGACTGTGGGGAGCTGGAGGATCCACTTTCAAGATGGCTGTCTCACATAGCTCTCAATGCTATCAGTTTTTCTCCACATGGGCCTCTACACAGGGCAGTTTGGGCTTCCTCACAGCATCCCAAGAGAACCAAGAGGAAGCTGAATCATATGACCTAGCCTCAATTCCAAGGGAAGGGAACTAGCTCCCACCTCTCACCGGGAAGAGTCTCGGAATTACACTGTAAGAAGAACATGTGGGATGTGAGACATAATTGTGGGCATATTTAGAAAATACAATCCACCAGAGATGCACTGGAGGTAAAAGGGGGGTATCCAGCCCAGTCTAGGGTGGAGTGGAGGGGTGGTCTTTGAAGGGTTGTGTGTAGGGGAGACAGGGCATTGATACTTGAGCCTTTCTTGAAAGCCTAGGTTGGAATCTTGGCCCTATCATTTATTCAATTCATTAAAATGATACTGAGCATCTGTCAGGCACAGTCCTGGAAACTGTGAATACAAAAATTAATGACACAGTTCCTGCCCTCTAGGAGCTTACAGTTTAATGGGAGACTCACGGAAGTTTGTGATTCTCTTAATTTGTCATCCTGCTTCCTTATTTACACAGTAGCCATGGGGAACTTTTTTTTTTTTTTTTTTTTTGAGACGGAGTCTCGCTCTGTTGCCCAGGCTGGAGTGCAGCGGCACGATCTCGGCTCACTGCAAGCTCCGCCTCCCGGGTTCACGCCATTCTCCTGCCTCAGCCTCCCGAGTAGCTGGGACTACAGATGCCCGCCACCAAGCCCGGCTAATTTTTTTTTTTTTTTTTTTTTTTTTTTGGTATTTTTAGTAGAGACGGGGTTTTACCGTGTTAGCCAGGATGGTCTTGATCTCCTGACCTCGTGATCCGCCCGCCTCGGCCTCCCAGAGTGCTGGAATTACAGGTGTGAGCCATTGCGCCCGGCCGCCACGGGGAACTTTTAAAGTTCCCATGTTAAAAGTCTTCAAAGGCAACCTACTTCTCTTAAGATGAACTTAGAAACCCTTACCATGGTCCAGAAGGTAAGATTTGGCTCTTTCAGGCTCTTCTTTGTCTCCCACGTTGGCCTTTCAGTTTCTGAAATGCCCCCCAAGCTTTGCATCAGAGCCTTCCTACATGCTGTTCCTCTGTGTGGAACAATCCACCCACCACTCTTCAGTTGGCCACCTGGCTCCTTAAAGTTGCTTAAATGACACTTTATCTGATACCTCCAGTTATGTCAAGTCCCTTAACACGCCCTCCCCAGGGTGTTCTGAAATGCCATAATTATAATTAAAATATTTAGTGTAATTCACTGTTTAATGTCCATTTTCTTCCCTTCTTAGACTGTAAGTACCATGGGGGCAGGGGCCACAGCTCTCATTTATGAAATACTCAGCCCTAGCCCAGTGCCCAGCCCAGAGCAGTCACTCAATAAATACAGAATGAACAAATATTTGGTGAATGCTACAAAAGAGCTAAGTATGAAACACACATCAGGAGAACCTAACCCAGTTCGGGGGGACCAAGCCTTCTGGGGAAGTATCATCTCAAGCTAAGATTTGAAGGACAAGGAGGAGTCAGTCAAGTGGGGAGGACAAGGGATAGGTGGAGGAGAGAATGGTTCCTGCACAGGATAAGTAGCAAATGCAAACGTAGATTGGAGAGTTTGGAGAGCTCGGAGGCAGAAGGAACTGTAGCATGGTAAAGCTAAGAGGAAAGCGGGAGGCGGGGGAGGGAAGCCAATGAGAGACGCTGAGCCAGACCAAATCATAGAAGGCTTTGTAAACCAGGTTAAGTTTTATTTTTTTTTAATTGAGACATAATTCACATACCATAATATTCACCCTTTTATAGTGTACAGAGTTAAGTGTTTTATGTTTTGTTTTGTTTTTGAGATGGAGTCTTGCTCTTGTTGCCCAGGCTGGAGTGCAATGGCATGATCTCGGCTCACTGCAACCTTCGCCTCCCAGGTTTAAGCAATTCTCCTGCCTCAGCCTCCCGAGTAGCTGGGATTACAGGCGTGCACCACCACACCCGGCTAATTTTTGTATTTTTAGTAGAGACGGGGTTTCACCATGTTGGCCAGGCTGGTCTTGAACTCCTGACAATCCACCCGTGTGGGCCTCCCACAGTGCTGGGATTACAGGTGTGAGCCACTGTACCTGGCCCAGAGTTAAGGGTTTTATAGAGAGAATCACATGATCAGATTTGCATTTTCAAAAGGTGACTTGACTACAATGTCAAGAGAGAAGGAAATGAGGGAGAGAAAGTGGAGACAGAGAGACCTGCCCTAATGCAGTAGTCCAGGTGAGATCCAAAGGCAGCCAGAACTAGGTTAGTGGCAGTGGAGATCGGAGATGAAATGAAGAGAGAATTGCAGGACTTGATAATTTGGGTAGGGGTCTAAGGCAAAGGGAGGAGTCAAGGATGACACCCGTGTCTGGCCTGGATGACTAGGAGGATGGTGAGTCCACTGGCAGAAAAAGGAACTGCTGGAAGAGGACTTTGGGAAGGAAAGTGATGAATTTTTAGTTAGCTGTATGAGGTAACTCGGGCAGGCAGGCACATGTCCAGATCTTGTTGGATATATAGGACTGGATCCTGAAAGACAGCTCTGGGCTAGAGTTATAGGTGTGGGAATTATTGGCAGATAGCAGCTGTAGCCAGTCAAGGATCAGATCCCCTTAAGGACGAAGTGCAATCTACAGAGGTTTGGGGAGGAGAAAAGGACACCACAAAGGAAGAGCTAGAGGGTGAAAGAGGCCAAGCAGGAAATGTTGCCACAGAAGCCAAAGAGAGAGCACAGAAGAGAGGGGAGCGGCCAACAGTATAAAGTGCTGCACAGAGGTCACGTAAGATGAAGACCTGAGCGACCATGGATTCAGCAAACAGCAGGTCATGGTGGCTTTGTTAGAGAAGCCAGGCTGCAGTTGGACAAGGTATGCATGGGATATTCTTAGAAGAAATCTAACTGCAGAAAGGAGGAGTGTTCTGGCTTTATAACCATGCACAGAATATTTAAATACCTTCCTTTGGATTCCATTTCTTCAACCATAAAATACAGATAATAGAAAGTAAGATGACAGTAGGGCAACAGGCAAGACCCAGGACATGGTACCCTAAAAAGATGCTACCTTATAGTGTTGTTGAGAAGATTAAATAAGGAATGGGAACCTGCCCAGCACTATAAAGAGTCCTTGGAAAAGACACTCAGAAAACCTTAGTTTTCTTTCCCATTCCTTGTGCTAGCCATTCTTTATTTAGTAATGAATCCTCCCCTCAGGATTTTGAGATTTGGCATTTTTCAGCATCCAGGTAACATCTCTCATGATTAGAAAATTACAGACCGTATCTGTGACTAACATTCAGTTTCCAACCTAACAATAGTGTTTATTCCTCCATTAGGAGAAGTTTTTGAGTCAAGTAAAATATGGTTTGTTTCATATCATGCCAGAATTGAGCTTCTTTATACAGTGATGGAAAGCAAGGGAATGGGGCCAACTACTGGGAGAAGAGTAACTAAAGTCAGTCCTTTGCTCCTAAAGGATTTTAAGGTGCTTAAGCTCGTAACTCAGGTTGTGAATCTTCTCACCTTGCAGTCATCTTAAGTGAACCTCTGAAGAGAGAAGTGGCTAACAGTAAACTTGATGGTTTAGAATGCAGCTACCAATTATCGAGTACCTTATTACAGCCAGTGCTTTATGTAAGTTAGCTCACTTAAACCTCACCACAACCCTTTGAGATAGGCATTAATACACCATTTTACAGATGGAGGAGCTGAGACTTGAGGGATAAATAGCTTGCCCAGGGTCATAGTTATTAAGTGGCAGAGCTTGGATTCCAGGTGCTACCTTTCTGACACCAAAGCTCAAACTCTTCCTCTAATGAAGTGAGTGGATAACTTTATTATTGACTCTGGGATACATTTTAGGAGTTCTACAGTTTTGGAATATAGAATAAGTTGATTTTTAATGTATTAATTATATCTCATTCAGTCTGAAATAAAAATGATGCTCAGTCGAGTGCGGTGGCTCATGCCTATAATCCCAGCACTTTCGGAGGCCGAGGCGGGTGGATCACTTCAGGTCAGGAGTTCAAGACCAGCCTGGCCAACATGGTGAAACCCTGTCTCTACTAAAAATATAAAAAATTAGCTGGGTGTGGTGGTGGATGCCTGTAATCCCAGCTACTTGGAAGGCTAAGGCAGGAGAATCGCTTCAACCCGGGAGGCAGAGGTTGCAGTGAGCCGAGATCACACCACTGCATTCCAGCCCGGGTGACAGAGCAAGACTCCGTCTCCAAAAAAAAGAAAAGAAAAAAAAATATTTTCCTTTACAGACTGGAGTGCTAGATGGTGAAAGGGCCCAAGAGCAAGTGAAGGGGTAAGAGGAAGCCAGTGTGGGTTAGCATTTCCCATGACAAATTTATAACCTAAAGGATAGTTAATCAGCTGGGAAAAGTGTGCAATTCTGCTGGAACAACTGGGGCTTGAAAACAGATGAAAAGCAAGATACTTCTAGCTGGCCAGCCAACAGAAAACTATTAAGAAATTGTTAAAAAGCAATGTCAAATGGGAAAAAGTTTGGTTTTTGCCATTTTGTATAGGATTATTCAGTTTCCATCACAGTGGTCAATCGAAGAAGATCTACAGCTGGGCATGGTGGCCCCTGTGCTTGTAACCCCAGCTACTCCAGAAGCTGAGGTGGGAGGATTGCTTGAGCCTGGGAGGCAGTTACTGCAGTGAGCTGAGATCATGCCACTGCACTCCAGCCTGGGTGACAGAGGAAGACTCTGTCTTAAAAATAAAATAAAATAAAATAAATTTTTAAAAGCAGATCTAAAAAACTTGCAGAAGGCAAAGACAACAATTACAACAATTTTAGGCTTACATCTTCCTCCTTCTGATTAAGATGATATTCCTTACTCAGTGAGAGCAAGGAAATGGATTTAGCTAAAAGGCAGCAATAGAAGGATGAGCAGACCAGATAAAATCTTTTAATCAATTAAAAAACAAAAAATCTTTTAATCGAAAAGATATATTGCAGTATTTGGGTTCTTTATTAGGTACTGGAGGTACAGAGAACTATTCCATAGCTCAGAAGTTGAGTTACTTCTATTTTAAAATTTATTTATTTTGGCCAGGCACGGTGGCTCACGCCTGTAATCCCAGCACTCTGGGTGGCCGAGGTGGGCAGATCACCTGAGGTCAGGAGTTCAAGACCAGCCTGGCCAACATGGTGAAACCCGGTCTCTACTAAAAAAAATACACAAAAATTAGCCCAGTGCAGTGGTGCACGCCTGTAATCCCAGCTACTCGGGAGGCTGAGGCAGGAGAATTGCTTGAACCTGGGAGGTGGAGGTTTCGGTGAGCCGAGATCGTGTCACTACACTCCAGCTTGGGGGCGACAGAGCAAGACTCCACCTCAAAAAAAAAAAAAAAAATTGTAGAAACGGGGTCTCACTATGTTGCCCAGGCTGATCTTGAACTCCTGGGCTCAAGTGATCCACCCACCCCAGCTTCCCAAAGTGTGGAGATTACAGGTGTGAACCACCACACCCAACCAGAAATTATTTTTCTAAAAAGATGCCACACCATCATATCGAGCTAAGCACATCTAGAAACAAATTCATTATGGCCTCTTAAAGCCAGCTTCTTTCTCAATTGCTATTAACAATGTCCAATTCTTGAGCCATCACATCATCTAATTTTCTTTTTTCAGGTCTACTGTGGTCCATGAGTTTAGGCATAAATGCCCACCTCTCAATAGCTCTGACCTTGAGCAAGATATTTAACCTCCCTTTGTCTGTTTTCTCATCTGTAAAATGAGTATTAGGATACTTTCTACTTTATAAGGTTATTGAAAGGAGTGAGTGAGTTAGTACATATTAAGTACTTAGTTCCTGGATGCAGAGTAAAACTCAATAAAAGTCAGCAATCATCATCCTATTGTTCATCTTTTGTACATATACTTTACTACTTTTGTATTTTTTTTCTATTGGTCTTTTTCTTATTGTTGATTTCTATGACATCTTTATTTCATCAAGAATACAAACACTAGCTCGCTATCTTCCTTTATACCCCCTTACTCCTGCTGTAATACAATACTGGAGTAATCCTGGAGCCAGTACCCGACCCCAGCAGCTTCTTGATCACTGAAGAAATAGGAAGTAGATCTCTGGTGGGCCAGGTCTAAAACGTTCTTCTTTCTTTGAGGTGGAGTCACTCTGTCGCCCAGGCTGGAGTGCAGTGGTGCAATCTTGGCTCATTGCAACCTCCGCCTCCCGAGTTCAAGCAATTCTCCTGCCTCAGCTTTCCGAGTAGCTGGGAATACAAGCACGCACCATGATGCCTGGCTATTTTTTGTATTTTTAGTAGTGATGGGGTTTCACCACGTTGGCCAGGCTGGTCTCGAACTCCTGACCTCAAGTGACCCACCCACCTCGGCTTCCCAAAGTGCTGGGATGGCAGGCGTGAGCCACCAAGCCTGTCCTTACAATCTTCTTGTCACTCTGGAAACCCTGTCTGTAGTTCTTCTTTGGCCCTTCCAATAATTTTGTAAGCCCTGGTTTCCTGGATAAAGTATCTTTCTGAGCTAGAGTAGTTTCTGTTATCTCTGAGCTCTATTAGAGCACACAGTATTTACTGAATAAAATGGTCTGTCATTAATGGCACAAATATTTTCCTAGCTAGTCTTTTAACTTTATGTTTTCTTACACAGTAAAATTTAGTTTCATTGAGTTAAATCTATCCACGTTTTCCTTTAAAGCATCCACGTTGATGCTTGTTGTACGCTTAAGGCCTTTTTCACCCCCAAGATCAGGAAAATATTCACCCACACTTTTTATATCTCATTCTAGTTCTCTAAAAAATTTTTTGGTCTTGCTGAATTGAGCAGAATTACATTTTTTGTTTTGTTTTGTTTTTTGAGACGGAGTCGCTCTGTTGCCCAGGCTGGAGTGCAGTGGCACAATCTTGGCTCACTGCAACCTCCGCGTTCAGGTGATTCTCCTGCCTTAGCCTCCTGAGTAGCTGGGATTGCAGGCATGCGCCACCACGCCCGGCTAATTTTTGTATTTTTAATAGAGACGGGGTTTCACCATGTCGGTCAGGCTGGTCTTGAACTCCTGACCTTGTGATCCGCCCACCTCGGCCTCGCAAAGTGCTGGGATTATAGGCCTGAGCCGCTGTGCCCGGGCAATTTTTGTTTTTAATGTCACTATTTAATCCATCTGAAAACTACTTTAGTAAATGGTAAGGATCTACCTTTTATATTTTCACAAATAGTTTTCCATTTATCAATTATGCATCATTATTTATCAATAATCCTTTGCCCCACTGATTTAAAGTATCACCTTTGCCATATATTAAACACTTGAAGCAGTCAACAGGTATTTCCAGGGTGCCTAATGTGTGCCTGGCCGTGTGCTAGACTGATACGACAGTGGAGAAGGGTGACAGGGCCCCTCCTCTCTGGAGCCTAATGAGAAAGATAAAGGATAATATGGTAGCACATAGGAGGAGCACCTATTATAAGCTTGGAGAGTCAGGGGAGTTTAGTGCATGCCTGCTTACTGTGTGTCAAACACAGTACTAACGACCTTAAAAGGGTAATTCCATTGACTTGGTAATATTAGGGCTTCACAAAAAGACTTATATGTTGCCATTTTAGTTGAAGAAACTGAAACTCTGAGAAGTGGAAGCCGCATATGAACCCAGACCTGTCTCCCAAGCCCAGGTTCTTAAGTACCATGGCTGACCACTAATCCAGACAGCACTGCCTCTTTGAACAGGGACTGACAAGGAGGAGCCAGAGAGGCAAGGGAAAAACCAGGAATGCGAAACTACAGACGTCAAGCAAATTCTTTTTTTCAAAAAGGGGGTGGTCAAGTGAAGAACTAAGAACATCCTCTGATTTTCAGCAACCAGGAGGTTGTTGGTAATTTGGTGAAAGCAGCTGTGGTGGGGGCAGAGGGCTGGAAAATGAGTAGGGAAGTAGACACTGAGGGCAGTTAATGCTTTCAAGAGGCTTGGCTGTGAATGGACACAGTGCGGTAAGGTGGCAGCTAAAGGGGTCCAGAGTATTTCTTTCAAAGATAAGGAGATTTGAGCACATTTTAATGTGACTGGGAAAGAGCAAGTGGAATCGGAAATAAAGGACTGAGTTAGAGGATCGCTGCTAACCATTAGTCCCTGAGAAGGTGGCAGGGGTGAGACTAAGAGCCCAAGTATAGGCATTAGCTTCAGACAGGACAGGAGGACAGGATAAAAGGACAAATATGGATAGAGTTAAACATGTAGTTGAGTATTGGAATTTCAAGGGAGTTCTCATATGATAATCTATCTCCTGGAAGTAGATAAGATTTTCTATCCATTATGATATTAAAATGAACATAGGTATCCTTTTCTTTAAAATGAACTAGTGTAAGGAGAAGGTTTTGAGGAAGTCACTGTGGAGAACTAAAAGAAAGCTGACTAGGAAAAAGGATTCCTGAACAGAAACACTGGTCTGAATGGTCATGGTGTTTTCTTCAGCAGCCCTTTGCATCCTGGGTGTAAACAAGCAACCAAAGTGATACAAGGCCAGGGGTTTGCAGGAAGGAAAATAAGAAGAGGGCACCAAGACAGTGGCAGGAGCATGGTTAAAATGATAGACCATGGAACTTAAGCTGGATAGGAAAAGAGGTGAAGATGGTATAGCTGATTAGGAGAAAATGAGGAGCTAAGGGACTACATTGTCTCATGGTGGGTCCAAGAACAGAGTAGAAGTAAATGAGGGGGCTAGAAGGATAGAAAGTTGTGGCCCAAGTTGGGGGTTTGAATTTAATACTTCAAAAGGAAGTCCAGAGATGGGGCCAGAAGTGGGATGGCTAGAAAGGTCTCTGGAAATAAGGGGATCAAGGGACCAAAAAGTCTGGGTGATGAATAGATCATTCATGTGGATCCTAAGGTCACCCAAGATGATGGCAGGACTAAGCCAGATGTCAGTCTTCAATGAATGAAGGAAATGTCAGGAGATAAGTAGAAAACACTGAGGAAGAGAAGGTAAGGAGCACACAGCAAGACTGCTGCAGCCTTAAAGAAATAGGGGCTTCTTACACAAGATGAGGGAATCTGGAGGCAACAGTAGAGATAAAGAATTAGCCAGGTGCAGTGGCTCACACCTGTAATCCCAGCACTTTGGGAGGCCAAGGTGGGTGGATCACTTGAGGTCAGGAGTTTGAGACCAGCCTGGCCAACATGGTGAAACCCCATCTCTACTAAAAATACAAAAATTAGCTGGGTGTGGTGGCGGGCGCCTGTAATCCTAGCTACCTAGGAGGCTGAGGCAGGAGAATCGCTTGAACCAGGAGGTGGAGGTTGCAGTGAACCAAGATTGTGCCACTGCACTCCAGCCTCGGCAATAAGAGCAAAACTCCATCTCAAAAAAAAAAAAAAAAAAAAAAAATTAGGTCGGGTGTGGTGGCTCACACCTGTAATCCCAACACTTCAGAAGGCCACTGGTGGGAGGATCGCTTGAGGCCAAGAGTTTAAGACCAATTTGAACGACACAGCGAGATCCCATCTCTACAAAAAATTTTAAAACTATCCGGTTGTGGTGGTGTGTGCCTGTAGTCCAGCTACTTGGGAGGATGAGGGAGGAGGAAAGCTTGAGCCTAGGAGTTCGAGGCTGCAGTGAGCTGTGATCACGCCACTGCACTCCAGCCTGGGTGACAAAGCAAGACCCTGTCTCTAAAACAAAACAAAACAAAACAAAAAACCCTCCATAAGTAATATTTTAATGGTTTCTCACAATCTTTAATTGATATTTAACTTCCTCACTAAAACTGGCTTTAAAGGTGACCAAATGACAAGTACAATACTTTTCTTGGTTTGTACTGTTTTTTTTTTAGAGACAGAGTCTCACTGTGTTGCCCAGGCTGCAGTGCAGTGGTGTAATCATAGCTCACTGCAGGCTCCAGCTCCTGGGCTGAGCTCTCCTCCTGCTTCAGTTTCCTGAGTAGGTAGGACTACAGGCATGAGCCACCATGCCTGGCTAATTTTTAAACTTTTTTTGTAGAGATAGTCTTGCTATGTTGCTCAGGCTGGTCTTAAACTCCTGGCCTCAAGCGATCCTCCTCTCTTGGCCTCCCAAAGTGCACTGGGATTACAGGTGTGAGTCACTGTATTGGCTGGTTTGTATTAAAAAGAAATTCAGATAGAATTAATATACCTTATTCACCATTTTAAAGTGAATTCAGGGGTTTTTAGTATATTCACAAGGCTGTGCAACTATCACCATTATCCAGAATTCCAGACATTTCCATCACCCCCAAAAGAAACCCCATATCCATTAGCAGTCCCTCCCATTCTTCCCTTCCCTGAAACCTGCACAACCACAGATCTACTAGTTGCCTATTCTGGACATTTCATATAAATGGCATCAAATAATATGTGGCCTTTTATGTCTAACTTCTCTTACTTAGCATAATGTTTTCAAAGTTCATCCATCTTATAGCATGTATCAGTATTCCATTCCTTTTTACGGCTGAATAATATTCCATTGTATGGATATACTATATTTATCCATTCATCAGTTGATGGATATTTTTGTTTACACTTTTTGGCTATTATGAATAATGCTTCTATGAATATTCATGCACAACTTTATGTGTGGACATATGATTCAATTATCTTGGGTGTACACTTAGTATTGAAATTGCAAGGTCATATGGTAGCTCTATATTTAACTTTTTGAGGAACTGTCAGTTTGTACTCTTCTTGATTCCCACGAAGCATCTAGTATCAATGATCATGCCTTCCTTCTGAAGCTGTCTGCCTACTCTACCATAACAACACTACCTGGTACACTTAACACTTGAACAACTTGTTTTTCTTTGGCTACTCCATCCTTCAAAGTTCCCCCAAGGTTCTGACCTCTACTCTTCACTTGATATACTAAAATTCTTACCCTTTAAAGAGGTACTAACTCCTACTATAACCTATCATGAACTTACCACTCCAGCCATATGAGGTCTACATACTACCTACTAAATTCTTTCTTATCCCACCTAAACTGCCCTTTTACTTCCTCTTTGCTATACAAATCTCAGTTATTTGGGAGCTAACCTCAAATGCAACTACATATGAAAGTTATTTACTTGCTTCCCCCCTCCCAACCAAGAAAGAGCTTTCTTCTCTGAATGCTGATTTTACAGCCCATAACCATCATCACAATCATATACTGCTACTTAGGTTTTTATATCTGTTTTAAGTCTTTATCTCAAAAAATGTCCCTCCTCCCTTCACCTAGTCAATCTCTTGATCACTAAAAAATTTTCAAATTGCTTTATAAGATGTACAATTAAAAAATAATTTCCCCTTCCCAGTGGCAACTACTGTGGTTTCCTGTATATTCTTCCAGGAATATTCTATGGATATTCACATATTTTTTTCTTTCATAAATGTTACCATGTTATATATGCTCTTCTGTACTTTCCCTTTTTCCCTCTCATATTTTAATTATTCTTTAAAGTGGAACCTCACTAATGTTTTAAAAACCCTAACTACATTACATCTACTGATTGTACTTTGCTTACACATTTTTCACTTCAAAGAACCAGAGATTCATGAGGAATTATTTCTTTAGAGAAGTCATACTACTTTTTATCCCATTTGGCTCCAGTTGCTAACGTAATCAATGAAGCTACTTAATTTTGTTTACATAAATAATAAATACTTTCTCATTGTAAAAATTCAGAATTATCAATGAAGCAAACAATCCCCCTTGACTATTTTTTCCTGAAAGTAACCAATGTTACCAGTTTGGTATGTACACTTCCAGCATTTTTAAAAGCATTTAAATCCAAATAAATGTATCAGTAAAAATATTATTGTTTTAATTTCTTTAAACATAAACTAAATGATGTCATTTTTTTTTTTTTTACAAGTTGCTTGTTTCCATTCAACAATATATTAACCATGTCTCTACATACAGAAGTAACTCATTTTTCTTTTTTCTTTTTCTTTTTAATGGCCTGCGACACAGCCCCAGGAAATCCTGAGAACATGTGCCCCAGTAACTCCTTTTTCTTAACTGCTGTGTAGTTTGTTTAGCTATTCCTTACTGTTGGAGATTTAGGGTGTTTCCAGTTTTTTGCTGTTACAAACAGTGTTGTAATGAATAGCTCTGTAATGTCACCCTATGCATAAGTATGGTGACTGTTTCTCTATAATAAATGGTGAGAAGTGGAACTCTGTGTCAAAAAACACTAAGTTTATAAGTATAACACATACTATTAAATTGGCCTTGCTAGTTTTGTGGCATAGTTGTTATAGTTAATAACAGTAATATATGTGACCATCAGTTTCACATATTAGTGTCCTTTAAAACTCTAGGACATCTCATTGACTTAAAACTCATGTAGTATATAGTAGAAGAACACTAGATTGGAAACCGAAAGATAAAAGTTCAAGTCCTGGTTCTGTCTCTAACTACTAACTTGATCTTAGGTAATCCTTTCAATATCTAGGCCCCAGTTTCTATACCTATAAAATTAGATTAAAGTGATATTTTCTAAAATATGTACCTATATTATTAGTAGCATGCAAGATGCTTTTACTTTTATTGATTTTTATTTTAACAATATTGCATTTTAAATTAGAAAGAAAAACATAATTACAGTATCAAATTAAAGACTTATGAATATTATTTCTAGCAATATAAAATTTACCTTTTAAAGAACATTCATTTAAGTTAAAGAAAGGTGAGTGATTTAAAGAAAAATAGTATGCATATAATGGTATAGCTGATATATAGATATGGCAAATCATGAATATGATATATGAAGGACTGAAGTTTCCTCCTTGATAAAATCAAGAACAGGTTAGATTAAAGCAGTAAATCCTAGACTTTTAGATTTTAATGATCAATAAAATGTAAAAAAAAAAAAAGTTAGTGATCAACATGGGGTTGCTGACTTTTCATTGTGCTGAGTAAGGACATTAAGAACAACAAAATTCATAATCTCAGCACTGTGGGAGGCCGAGGCAGGTGGATCACCTGAGGTCAGGAGCTCGAGACCAGCCTGGCCAACATGGTAAAACCCCGCCTCTGCTAGAAATCCAAAAAATTAGCCGGGTGTGGTGGTGGCACGCGCCTGTAATCCCAGCTACTCGGGAGGCTGAGGCAGGAGAATGGCTGAAACCCGGGAGGCAGAGGTTGCAGTGAGCTGAGATCGCGCCATTGCACTACAGTCTGGGCAACAAGGATGAAACTACGTCTCATAAAAAGATATTTAAAATTATTTAAAATGTTGTATAATTATAAAAGAAGTACATGTTGAAAATTTTCAGATTGTACAGTAAGTATAAAAAGTCATTTTCTTATTCTTTTCCTCCCCCTTCCCCACTAAAATCTACTCACATTCTGCCATACAGATCTATCTCAGCTTTAGAAAGGAAGTTTTTAACATTATAAATATGTATATGTGTATATATGTTTAATAATATGTAACATAATTTATAACATAAAATATAAGCATATATACATATATTTATCCTATATAAATATACTGTATACTATATTTATTCTATGTAAAAATATATATCAGAAATATATCCTCTCAGAATAAAGGACAGACTTTTCCAGTAAAGGACATGTGGCAACCTTTCTTAGCCATTTGAGAACCACTGATTTATAAGACCTTCCATCTCTAAAATACTATGATTAGGTCTAGACTATCCTGAGTATTTACATGCCTTTCATTATTATCACTGACCTACATATTTCAAAAGACAATTAGGAATCTCTTTAACATATCCTTGGGTAGAAAATCATAGATTGCAAGTGTTTTTTCAGTCTTTTACTCTGCTTGTTGTATGAGTACATGTCTGTGCTCTATCACTGATTATCACTGGTTCCCTACATCAGAGTTTTAACCTGGGGTCCAAGACTTCAGGGTATTCGTAACACCGTGAAAACATATGTGACATTTTGTGTGTATTTTTTTTTTCTGGAGAAAGTTTCTAACTTTCTACGATCCTAAAAGGTTAGAAATTATTGCTTTAGATATGTTTCTTGCTTTTGCGTTAAATAATCTTATTCTTGGCTTGAGAGTCCCTTAAAAATTTTTCTTCATTTGCATTTCACAGCTGAATATTTGAGTTCTTTGTTCTCACCTTAATAGTCTTCTCATTAAAACAAAAAAAATATTCTCCTGTACCCATTAATCATAAGGAATTTAAATTTTTTATTTAATTTTTATTTTTTGAAGTACTGAAAGACAGAAGAAGGCAGAGACTGATGCCCCACAATGAAAGTGACAGGCAGGGAGACAAGCAGCTAGACAGTGAGACACACAGGCATAGATAAAAGGCCTAACGACAGAGAGACTACACAGGCAAAAGAAATATAGAGAAACCTGGAAACACAGAAGGAGAGATGCAAGAACTGAGCAGACAGAGAAGAGGGATGGCAGAAAAATAGGCTGGCAGGGAGGGAATGGAGATTGACTGACAGAGAAGGCAGGCAAAATCACCAAAAGGGATGCAGACAGGCAAACAGAGAGAGAGAGAAAGAGAGAAGAAGGGAAGACAGATAAAGGAAGAAAAAATAAGGTAAGAAGGAAGACAAAGTGATAATGGTGTTTTATACAACATAGTGCTTTATAATTTATAAAGTGCTATCACATACATTACTGCAGGCAGACAGGGAGAATCCAGCAGACAGATGGGGTGATGGAAGGATACAGGCCAATCAGACAGAAGAGAGGGGAGAGGGCCAATCAGAAAAAGAGGCTAGAATAGAGATCAAGACAGACAGATAAGAAGAAAGAACCAAGAAAAGAGAAGTAAGAGAGGGAAAGAGGGAAAGAGTGGAGAGACACAAAGATAGAGGCTGAAACAGTTAAACTCAGGAAAACAGGCAGTAAAAAAGCAGAAATGAAAGAACAGTGCATTGTGTGTAGAAGTTTTATTATCATCTTTTTCAAAGAGACCTGGTTAGAGGTTGTGTCTTTGTCTCCTTCAAAGAGTTATAAAATGTCTCTAAGGTGGCATGTGAGTGGAGCCAGAAGGCTTTAATCAGGAGAAAGCTTTTTAGACTAGGAGGAAGACAAACTTCTTAGGCCTAGGTCGACAACCTAAAGGATCTGGATTCACATGACCTTACAGAATTCATATAGACTAAGTGAGAAAGCAGGGCAGTCCTCTACCTACTCTGTGTGCATGTAAGCTCAGCTTACTGTTACTTATTAACAGTGCCTATATTTATAGGGTACTTTTTAGTACTACCGGTGCTTTCATGCCTTCTCCAATACACATTTCAGTGATGAAGCGACCAACAAAGATGTCTTGCTGGCATCAGACCACTTACCATGCAGAGTAGACTACATTTGGAGAGAGTAAAGCCTTCCTGAGCACTCCTCAAGTACTGGTAGTGAACGCATGCAACCAGTAACTAGTCAATCCAAAAGACACGTGCTTTGGGTAACACTTGGTAGAATCAAAAAGACCAGAGATGGCAAGCCCAGCCAAGTTAGTTAGGAGTACTGACAGACTGACAGAGGAAGGAGCATCCAGAAAAACTGGAAGAAAAGTAGGGAGGAGTACAGCAAAACACAAGCAAAAGCAAGCAAGCAAAAAGACTTGTATATGTGTAGACTTTTCTCTGGAGCAGTATCCAGGAAATGTGAAACAGTGGCTGCTTCTGAGGAGAGGAACTCCGGGACTAGGGGAGAAGGATGGGAGACAGGTTTACTTTTCACAGTACACTTTCTGTACTTTTAAAATGTTGTACCATAAGTATGTACTACCTATTTAGAAGTTAACTGGAAAAAGAAACAAAAGAAGAGAGAAAAGCAAGAAGAGACGTGGACAGCAAGAGCCTGCCAAGCAGACAGCAAAAAGGCAGGAAGGCAGCGAGAGACTGGGAAAATGGCAAAAAGACTGAGACAGGCAGACTGTCTGAGGAACCAGAAAGACAGAAAAAGAGATAACTGAAATAAAGGCAAACGTGAGAGAAGGCAGGGTAGGGGATGTGGCAAGAAGTTAGATAAGACTTTGAGGCAAAGGGGTTACTGAGAGGTTTAGGGGAGAGAGACTATCCTCATTGATGGAAGTTGGCAGAGAAGAAGCAAAGGAAGAAAAAGCTGGTAAGTATGAAGACTAAAGAGAGAAAAGCCTGAAACGGTGGGATAGCAGCAAACAGGGTAGACAGGCAAGAGAGATCTAAAGGGAGGCAAGGGAAAAGGAGGAACTTAACAGGCACAAATAAGAGAAGGAACAAGCAGAAGGGCAAGAGAAGAGGCAAACCAAGATGGGGAGCCGTGGCAGGGCCTGGAAGGTAGACAAACCGAGAGATGCAGGCTAAAAAAGTGATAGAGACAGGCAGGCGGGGAGACAGATGGCTAGAGAGAGAGTGGTGGGCAAACAGCCAGAGAAGCAGACAGACAACCAGAGAGGAAAAAGAGGCTGCCAGCCAGTCAGGGAGGAGCAGACAGGCAGGCAGGCAGACACCATAACAGGAGCAAGCAGGTAAAGAGGCAGAAATAAGGAGAGAAGAAGAAAAATCAAGAGGTCAGGAGAGAGAGAGAGAGAACAGAAAGAGATGCAGACAGGCAAAAGGGAGGATGGATGAGAGGGAGAATAAGGCAAATTAGCAAATCCACATGCAAAGCACACTCAAGAGAGAGAATGATGAGTGTTTGTATAGGGATGCACACGGCCACCTTTAGCCACCCGCACCTGCAGATCATGGCACATGTGGCAAGCAGAGGCTCTCAGTATAGGGAGAGGGCACAGAGGCAGAGAGGCTGCGGCGCACATGATGCGCAGTGTGGCCCACATACACGTGGAGACACTTCCCATACACAGTATGATCCACAGACACACACAGAAGGGGCCAGAAAGAGGGGGAGTCAGGCACACATGAGGAAGAGCCACACACAGTCAGAGACTGGAAGACAGAAGTAAGCAGAAAGAAGACAGAGATGGAAAGTCACGTAGAGGTGACAGAGCCTGAGGGTCCAAGGGATGAGAAGGATAGTCTCAGTTAAAAACAAAGACATAAATAGAGAGAAGCCCACAATATAGAAAGGGGGGGATAACCAGATGAACTAGTAAAGAGGGACAGAGAAAGAAGACAAGAGAGCAAAATCGACAGGAAAACTGGAAAAGGAGGAGGAGTTAGACTTAGTACAGAAATGATGTGGGAACCAAAGCAAGAGAATTCCAAAGGCCAGGTTAAAAAAAAAAGAGATGGAAACCAACACCCAATAAAGTGCATTAGTGTGGGGAGTGGAACATTAATAAAGAACATTTTAGCTTCATAAACAAAAATGTGCGTCATCTTCCCAGTCACTAATACTTTCTGGTTGCTGCCCACCTACCCCTCCCTCTCAGGGTGCTCCTGAGCACCGCCGAAGATGGGTGGCCAGCAGTTACACTGGAGAGGTAGAGGAATAACCCAGAGAGAAATGATTCCACAGGCATGGAATGGGAAGCAAGGGAAGGGGCAAAGGGAGATCAAAGGAATGGGAGGAAGCTAGAGTAAGAAAGGGTCAACAAGAATGAAAGAGGGTAGAACTGAGCTATTTGCCCTCCTTCCTTTGCTCCATTTGGCAAGGATCATTTTCTGTCTAGACCTCTCTGGGCAAATCTCTGTATGAGAAAGCTACTTTGGGACTCCTTTCCAACTGTCCAATTCCTGGTACCACTTTACCATAAACACTGGGGTACAGTTGGAAATCACAGGTCAGAAAGTTAGATGAAAACGCCTGGGTATAACCCCTACCTCTGCTTTTTCTCAGTTCCAGCTCCTTTCTCTTTCACGGTACCTCAGTTGCTTCTACTTTATCGGATAGTGTTGGAGATCATGGAGGGAAGGCAAATATACTGAAACGGAAGAAAAGAGAACATAATTTCACGATCTTCAGATTTGACTCTTTCCTCTTTATCCTAAAAATTTGTTGTTTACCCCCCAAATTAATTTCTCAAGTCAGTTGAATTTTACATTCTAACAATTGGAGGAGGGGAAAGCGAGGGAAAGGGGAAAAGAGTAAAGATAAAATTTATAACAATTATAAATCACTGAAAAGGCTGGGTAAAGGGGAGAATCAAACATGGACTCCTTTGAAAAAAACTCAATCATCGTATCTATTCATATCTCTCCCCCAAAAGTCACTAGGATTTCTATCACTTTTTTTAAAGAAAGCAGAAAAAAATCCAGTCCCGCTTCTCATTTAAAAGATATGTACACAATTAAATGCGTTGTGACTTCAATGAGGTATGTAGAAACAGAGTTATATATAAACATATATTTCATCTTTTTCCTTTTCAATGCCTGAAGGGGAAAAAAACCTTCACATCAAACCACTCCCTTCTGAAGTATTCAAAAAAAAAAAAGCTTTTCTTTAGAGAAGGGAGGTGGGGAGGAAGAGACTAGTAAAGAAAATAAAAAAAATTAAATCTAGTTGGACTAGTATCTAACTAGTTAACCTTTAACAATTTATGCTGATGTCAGACTGAGCATGAGTACTGATTAATGCCCCCCCTCAAATATTTTTTATAAGGGGGGAGTTAGTCACAGCAGCCATTTTTGTTTTATGCAGAAATCCTTCATGCCCCCCCAACACACACACACACACACACACACTTCAGTACACAAGGAAAATATCTCTATTAATCTGTGCACTAATCAGTTATGAAAAAGGAGAAATTTGTGGGTTTCTGGGTAAAGGCTTGGAGATGGGGGTGTAACAGGGAGGAGAATGGGGGGGTGAAAAATGAAATATTAAGCCAGCCATTTTGTTTGAAAAGGGGATTTTCCCCCCTCTCCCTTTCTTTATGGAGGGGGTGGCGGTGCTGGAGGGGGGGTTGTTTTAAAAATAATTTCAAGGCGGCCATCTTAGTGCCTCAGCTCTGAGAAATATTTCTGAGCGCCCCCCTCAGAATTTAAATATATTTAAAGCAACGGAGAGGGGGGCAGAGAGAAGTCGAAAACTTTTATATATATACATATATATATATATATATATGTATATATATATATATTTTAAATCCCCCTTTCTTGTTCTCTTGGGAGGAAAGAGAGAAGGAAAAAAAGTCTTTCCTCAATTTTTTCCAAGACAATTTTTGGGGGTGGTTTGGCCCCCCTCCTCAGACGGCGGCCCCGAGGGTGGGGGTTTCGGAGGGGGGTGGCCCGGGGGTTTGGGGGGCTGGGGGAGGCGGTGAGGAGGAGGAGGACGCCGCCGCCGAGGAGGAGGAGGAGGAGGAGGAGGAGGAGGAGGAGGAGGTGGTGGTGGTAGCGGTGGGGGAGGCGGGCGGGCGGTGGGTGGGGGGGTGGTGGGGGGGCCAGAGCCACAGGATGGCTTCCCCTCTGAGGGACGAGGAGGAGGAGGAGGAGGAGATGGTGGTGTCGGAGGAGGAAGAAGAGGAGGAAGAAGAGGGCGACGAGGAGGAGGAGGAGGAGGTGGAGGCGGCCGACGAGGACGATGAGGAGGACGACGACGAGGGAGTACTCGGGCGCGGGCCGGGCCACGACCGGGGCCGCGACCGCCACAGCCCCCCCGGCTGCCACCTCTTCCCGCCGCCGCCGCCGCCGCCGCCACCGCTGCCCCCGCCGCCGCCGCCCCCGCCGCCAGGTAAGCGCCCGCCCCGACTCCCCCCCCAAGCCCGAGTGGGAGCCGCGGGCGCGCGAAGCCGGGCGGGGGCGAGGCACCCACCGCGCGGCCGAGCCGAGGCGAATCCGGAGCGCGAATCCGGGGCTCGGGCCCGTGGCCCCGCGGCGGTCCGGGAGGTCGGGGCGGGCGGTGGCGGCTGCGACCGCGGGGCCAGGCCTCCTCCCCTCCCCCGCCGCACCCCTCCCCCGCCGCCGCCGCCGCCGCCGCCGCCGCCGCCGCCGCCACCCCGGCTGGAGAGCGCTGGGCGCGAGCTGCGCGCGCGGACCGGGCCACTCGGTCGCGGCTTTCGGGGGAGGAGGAGGAGGAGGTTTTTTTTTTACCCTCGGCGGGGAGGGGGTAGGCAGGAAACGGCCAAGGCGAAGCCAGGGCCCCCTCCCTGGCCGAGCGAGGGACCGCCGAGACCCTGGCGGCCGGACGGCGGCGTGGGGGAGGGGCACGTGGGGGAGGGGCGGCCGCGCGAGCGCCCCTCGGGCTCTGGCCCCGGTGGGGTTGGACCGAGGGAGAGTGGGGTTTCCCCGCACGGAGCAGCCGACGGGCCTGCCCCCTCCGCTCAGGACTTGGACAGGCAGAGTGGGGACGGTGTCCATCGGACCCCCCTCCACCCGCGGAGACTTAGGTGCCCGCCAACTGAGGGGCATGCGGTGGCACGCGAGGGAGGGGTCTTGTGAATGTTTGTGGGCTGCTGATGAGTAGGGGCAGGTGGTGGCCACAGTCCACGCAGACCACTTCCTGGAATAAGGCAGGAGCTCGTCCCCTCGCTCCCCCAGCCTGTGCAGGGACAGCAGTCCATTCGGATTGGGGAGCGGAGAGAAGAGTGTCTGGGGAACCAGATACCCCCGGCTCCACCCCCTTCATCTCGCCGGGGCTCTGGGCTCTTTTGTGTCAAGTGCGGTGGGGGGGGTCCCCCTCTTGACCCCGTCAGTCTGGGGTGGCCAAGCTGCCCAGCTGTGACTCTCACGTGGCTGCCATTCACTGTCACTCACTCTCTCGCTGAAACCACCCACTCCCTGAGCACGTTGGGGGGCGTGAACTGCCCACCCAGCTGTTCTGCAGCTTGACCATCACTCAGCACCCGTCCCCCGAGGTGACAAGTCACCCGGCGGCACTCTCTGGGCGGCGCTCTCCAGACCGCTGCGCCGCGTCAGGCGCCCAGCGGTGTCCCCCTCAGACCACCCTCCTAGTGGAGTGATTTCTAGTCTTCTTTGGGATAGGTGAGCATCTGGGTGTCCACACCCCCTGCTTGGGGAACAGCAGGGGGACCTCCGCACCCCCGGGCCTCTGGCTGCCATGCGGCACAAATGCACCAAACTTCAAAACGGCCAACTCCGGGCTCTTTGTAAAACTGTCATATTGATCCGTGTGGCTTCTGTGGCAAACGTTCCTGTCTAGCCGAGACGACCTTTGGGGGAGCGGGGGGTGCTTTCTTGTGGGTCGGGGAGGGATGTGTGTCTCCTGGAAACTGGATAAAGTCTCCCCGCCCCCCAAGCTTGTCTGAAAAAGGGTAAAGTTTTGAAAAAGTTCTCCCAGAGAGCCCCCTGCCTTGGCAGGAGGAGGAGGAATGAGGAGTTGTGGGGAGAGGGTGCCTTTGGGGTTGCCTCCGGCAGAGGCGCTGAAAAGAGGGAAAGAAAGGCCGTCAGGTCCTGCCAGGGGCTTGGCAGCGCTCACCTATTTGTATTGGGACTTGGAGTCTGGGGTGGGGTGGTGTGGGTCCCGGATCTGGGTACGTTGGGGAGAGAAGCGTGAAAGGATCCGAGGTTGAGATGGGTCTTTGTGTCAACCCGGCCTCCCCTTTCCCTCTTGGCTTTCTGAATAGACCAGAAGAGACGTCAGAGGCTGCTTACATTTTACAACTGAAATGAAAACCCACCTCCCCTCTCCCCCTGGGCAATTTTTATCTCCCTTTCAGCCCTCCAAGTCGAATGAGTGACCCAGATACACCCCCTCAGATGACTTTCGGAGGTAAAACTTCGGGAAATTATTTTTAGCACACTCATTATTTCTGTCTACCTAAGTGTGGGGAAAAGAACCCTCCTCTAAGGAAATTTGTTCAGGCTGCCCTCGCTCTTCCTTGTCTAGAGTATGCATTTGTGCACAGGAGAGATTTCCATTGTTTTCCATTCCGACTGCTTTGATTCTCACCATTTTGTTTTACATTCTTACTCAAGACCAATTTTATCCCTTCCCCCTCTCTCCAGTCTCCTTACATTGTTAAACGTTTAAAATAATAGCAGTCGTGTTGGTGGGGGAAGGGAGCAGGAAGCCAAAAACTCATTTCTTCTCCCTCCCCCTTCTGGCAAGTCGAGAGAAATAATATAACATAATATATAGATGTGATTCCTTGGGGGTGGGGGTGGGGAATGATTGTGGGTGGTGCGGAAAATTCTGGTAGTTTCTTTGCAAAAGGTCTGAAAATACAAACCCACCCCCTGCCTGCAGTACGCATGTGCAGCAGACCTATTATGGTGGTGCGTTGTGGGGGAGGGAGGGGAATTTGAGAAAAAATAAATATATGTGTGAGAGATTGATGGTGAGATTAGAAGAAGAGAGGGGCGGGCGGGAGGCGAGGCTTCGGCCGAGACTCCTCCCGCTTGCTCGGGCGGCCAGGCTCCGCCCTGCGCCCTCCGGCCCCCGCCTCTCTCCTCCCTGCCTCCCTGAGATCCGAGCCGGGGATGTGGGAGAGTCTGGGCTCCAGGCCAGCATTGAGTGGCTGCTGAGACCGAGGTTGGGACTTAGATTTGCTTTATTACCCTTCCTTGCTTTTCCTTGCCGTTCTCGCTTTGCCTCTCCCGCCACCGACGCCTGCCCAAGTTCGGGAACCTCCCGCTGGGGTGGGGAGTAGAGTGAACCGGCTTGTGCACCACCCCTGGCTGGTGGTGGCCGAGGCCGTGTCCCTGAACCTTAGCCAGTTGGCCTGCCCTTGCCACTGCCTCGGCAGCCTGCGTTTCCATGTTCAAGTCAACCGAAGTCCCTGGGGCCAGGGGGAGCCGGCTGCTGGGGCATGGCGCCTTCCTTGCTGACTTCCTATTACAGTCCCCATTCCGTTTCACACCCGGGCTCTGGCAGCCACCCCCCTGCACACACGCACACAGTCCTAGAGTGTCTTCCTGCACAAGGGGACACAGGATGCTGGAGTTAGCAGGAAAGGTGGCACTGAAGGAAGGCGAGGCAGCGACTCTGAGGCAGTGGAAACGGAGGCCTCTGGTGTTAATTGTGGCTAATTTTCCGTTGGCTGTTGAGGGAAGGAGAAAGGATTGTGTGTCCTAGAGCTAGGGGCTGGGCCAAGCCCAGGCTTTCCCATCTTGCATCGGCTGCCTCTCTCTGTACTAGACAGGTCTGGCTGGTTAGTCTAGTGCTTGGTAGGGGAGGGACGTGAACCAGAGCCCCAGGGCCCCAGGTCTGTGGGGCATCCTGTCTTCCTTTATGTGGGGTAACTCTCCGTTCCGTTCCCCAAGCCTTCACAGAGTGACACCTTCACAGATAATGGGGTGGGGGGCCTGGGGTCCTCTGGCAGAGACATCTGGGGAGAAAGCCAGGGACCTATCCCTGCTGAAGCAGGTACAGGCCATCCTCTGGATTTGTGGGCCTGAGAGTGTGTGTGGGTGTGGGTGCGCGCGTGCGCGCGCGTGCTTTTGAGAAGGCATATGCTGGGTGTGTCTGTCTGTGCCTATATCTTTGTTTGGGTCTCCCATACTGCGTATAGATGAATGGGTCAGGATATCTGGAACAAAATATGGAGGTGAAGGGTGAGATCGGGAAACAAAGGGTATGGCCCCCTAGTTCCCAAAGGGAGCAGGGAGATGGGAATAGAATTGAAGGTAGGTTTTAGGCTACTTGGGAGGAGGAATATTTAGGTAATTGTGGAGACTTTCTCCTGTGTGATGAAGGCGGCAGACACTGTGATCCTGTGGGCAAGAAGTAAAAATGACCAGCTGAGGATTTCTTTTCCTCCAGGACTGTGTTGGGGTGACAGGATGCCTGGTAATTATCCGAGGAAATGTAAATAGAGGCCTCCCTCTTGGCAAAAGGATGTCAGGGCCCCAGGGTGTTAGTGTGAGAACCCAGGTGTCCACCTTTGGCTCTCCCTCCCCAGCATCTGGCTTAGGGAGCTGCCAGCTTGTGTCTCCCCACTCCAAGTGCTGGGGTCAGGCCAGGCCAGCAGCTGGGCATGGCTTCCCCAGTTCCTGGGCAGGATGCCAGCTGGCGAAGTGAGGGGGAAGGCAGGAGGAGCCCTGGCGGTGACTGAAAGGACCTGCCACAGTCAGAGCCCATGGCCTGGAGCCTGGTCTCTTGTTAGTAGGAGGGGAGGGAGGGGAGTGGTTTGGCTGCTCTTCTCTTCTGACCCCTGACCTCCCATTCAGAACCAGAGCATCCCAGAGTACTCGAAACACTTTCTGTTTGCATCCAGTGAAGGGAGGCAGGGCTTGGAGGAGTTAATGCTTCCTAGAGAGTGGGAACTGCCGAGGTGGGGAAGGGGCAAGTTGAGGGGCCTCAGAGGCTGGAAACCTAGAGGCTTAGGTTTTCTGATGCTTTTTGCTTCAAAGATAAGGATGACATTCGGCTGCTGCCGTCAGCATTGGGTGTGAAGAAGAGAAAACGAGGACCCAAGAAGCAGAAGGAGAACAAGCCAGGAAAACCCCGAAAACGCAAGAAGCGTGTAAGTGTCAAGAATTCCTAACTCTGTGGCAAGGCTCAAGAGACCCATTCTCAGAGACCTACATTTTCTCTGGTCCTGATTACTGGTGTGGGGGTGGGGTTCTGAAGCCAGGGAGGCTTGATCCCCCGGGCCCCCCACTTCCCTGCCACTGTTGGCCTGTATCTCAGGGATCTGGGACCCTAACTTCATTCACTGCAACCTAGTGAAGAGCCTCGTTGTCAGTGTGTCCTCAGCAGCAAAGAGAAGCAGTTGAAAGCACAAGCTCTGGAAGACTGTATGAATTCAAGAGTCCAGCATTCCTCTGTCTAGGATACCAGGCCGTTTATTTGGCTCTCTGTGCCTTAGTTTCCTCATCTGTAAAAAGTAGATAAAGGCCGGTTGCAGTGGCTCACGCCTGTAATCCCAGCACTTTGGGAGGCTGAGCCGGGTAGATCATTTGAGGTCAGGAGTTCGCGACAAGCCTGGCCAATGTGGTGAAACTCCGTCTCTACTAAAAATACAAAAATCAGCCGGGCGCGGTGGTACGTCTGTAATCCCAGCTACACAGGAGGCTGAGGCAGGAGAATCGCTTGAACCCGGGAGGTGGAGGTTGCAGTGAGCCGAGATCACGTCAGTGCACTCCAGCATGGGTGACAGAGCAAGACTCCATCTCCAAAAAAAAAAAGGAGATAAAAAATTAGTTACTATCACAGGATTGTTGTGAAGATTAAAAGAGGTAAGATATGGTATGTGCTGAGAACAGTTTCTGGCAATGGTAGGGATGAATAAATGTTATTTTTATTTCTTTCTCTTAGGACAGTGAGGAGGAATTTGGTTCTGAGCGAGATGAGTACCGGGAGAAGTCAGAGAGTGGGGGCAGTGAATATGGAACCGGACCGGGTCGGAAACGAAGAAGGAAGCACCGAGAAAAAAAGGAGAAGAAGACAAAGCGGCGGAAAAAGGGGGAGGGAGATGGGGGGCAAAAGGTGAGTAGAATTAGGGAATGAGAGTGAGAAATCTGCATTAAAGACGGGCATGAGGAGGGGAGGAATGGAGACTGGACTGGAGAATGGGGCAAGAAGCAAGAAAGCCCAGGGAAGCTAGTGGGTAGGTAGACAGGCCTGTGTGCGGCCTGGAATAGGGGCTGGAGGAGCACCTACTTCACCAAAGCCCCTCTCCCGCAGCAAGTGGAACAGAAGTCATCAGCAACTCTGCTTCTGACCTGGGGCCTGGAGGATGTGGAGCATGTGTTCTCTGAGGAGGATTACCACACGCTCACCAACTACAAAGCCTTCAGCCAGTTCATGAGGTGCGGTAAGACTGGGGAATCCTCGCTAATTGACACTTTTAATTTGAGGGAGGTCCTGGACCCCTTGGAATCTGATGAAAGCTATGAAACTGCTCTCCAGAGAATTCACGGTGTATACACACCAAATTCTACACGTCATTTCAGGGAACTCCTAGACTCATAAGGATCCAAGAACCCCAGTTGAGAACTCTTCACTGAGGGGCGAGGGGTGGAGGGGCCATCATGATTCCAGTGCTGGGTTAGAGAACTCTTTAGCAACAGAATAAAGTGAGGACAGAATATAGTGAGCCCTCCCCTGCCCCAACAGCTCCATCTTCTGCTCTGTGACTTCTCTCTAGACTGGACCTGAGAGATACCATCAGTGTTCCTGAACTTCCTTAGCTCACTTAGCAGGTCCTGTGCCCCTTCCTTAGGCCCTGGTAATAATGGAGGGTCCACTGCTGGCAGTGGGACCTGAGCTTCAGTGGCTCCTGAAGAAAAGTAGAGAATAGTAGAGTAGAAAATAGCAGAGATGGGCCAGGTGCAGTGGCTCATGCCTGTAATCCAAGCACTTTGGGAGGCCAAGGCAGGTGGATCGCCTGAGGTCAGGAGTTCAGGACCAGCCCATCCAACATGGTGAAACCCCGTCTCTACTAAATACAAAAAAATTAGCTGGGCGTGGTGGCACATGCCTGTAATCCCAGCTACTCGGGAGGCTAAGGCAGGAGAATCGCTTGAACCCGGGAGGCAAAGGTTGTAGTGAGCCGAGATCACACCACTGCTATGCTCTAGCCTGGGCAACAAGCGAAACTCCGTCTCAAAAAAAAAAAAAGAAAAAATAGTGCCGATGTATTTTGTTTTGGGGAGAAGGCACTTTAACATATCAGTTCAGTGCTCTGGAGGCAGCTGCTGAGGTTCACATCTGGTTACATTTTGGGCAAGTGACTGAACTTCTTCAATCCTCAATTTCCTCTTCTATAAACGGGGAATAATAATATATACCTCATAGGAATCTGTGTGGGTTTGGTGGGATAATGAATGGAAAGCACAGTACCGTCAGTGCCTGGCTCCTAGGGAGCATTCAGTAACTGGTGACTGTCATTAGTAACGTTGTCTCACCTACCTTACTGCTGAACTTGGGGCTTTTCTCAGCACCATGGATCACCCGTGTCCGCACAAGAGTTGAGCACCCCACCCCAGAGCAGAACCAGCATGGTCTGACTCTTTCACACTCCGTCCTACGGAAGCCCATCTTCAGGGCCCATGGAACTTACTAGTAAAATGCAGAGAATCATAGCAACTCAAGAGTATTATTGTGAGGACAAGATAAGGTGGAATGTATGTGAAAGGGTTTTATGAACTGTAAAGTAGTATACAAAAGTAAAGCATTTTTGTTGATTTTATTTTAACCTTTTATGCTTTTAAGTTTTATTTCGCTGTTTTTTATTTCCCCTTTTTTTTTTTTTTTTTTTGAGATGGAATCTCACTCTGTCGCCAGGCTGGAGTGTAGTGGCGCAATCTTGGCTCACTGCAACCTCTGCCTCCCAGGTTCAAGCAATTTTTCTGCCTCAGCCTCCCGAGTAGCTGAGACTACAGGTGCGCACCACTACACCCAGCTAATTTTTGTATTTTTAGTAGAGACGGGGTTTCGCCATGTTGGCCAGGATGGTCTCCATCTCTTGACCTCGTGATCCTCCCACCTTGGCCTCCCAAAGTACTGGGATTACAGGCGTGAGCCACTGCGCCCAGCCTATTTCCCTTTTTTTAAAGACAGGGTCTCATTCTGTCACCCAGGCTGCACTGCAGTGGTGTGATCATAGCTCACTATATCCTCCAACTCCTGGGCTCAAGCCACCCTCCTGCCTCAGCCTCAGGTGCTGCCACACCCAGCTAATTATTTTTTTTTATTTTAATTTTTTGTAGAGACAGGATCTCACTTTGTTGCCCAGGCTTATCTCATAGCCCTGGGCTCAAGCAATCCTCCTGCTTCAGCCTGGAATTACAGGCATGAGCCACCGTGCCTGGCCTGTATTTCTTTTTTAATGCTTTTTTAAACCTGTTCTTTCCCCGCTTTTTTTAAACTTCTTTTTATTTATTTTTTTAAATGGCTGTTTTTCCTAATAGGACATATTCTCACCACCCAGGAATCCTAGCATGTACATAGATTTAATTGATGAGGGGAGATGGCAGTGTTCCCAGACCATCTGTGAAGGGTCCGAGTTTTCTGCTTCTATATTTACAGGCCCCTAATTGCTAAGAAGAATCCTAAGATCCCAATGTCTAAGATGATGACCATCCTTGGGGCCAAATGGAGAGAGTTCAGTGCCAACAACCCCTTCAAGGGGTCAGCAGCTGCTGTGGCGGCGGCAGCGGCAGCAGCAGCAGCAGCTGTAGCTGAGCAGGTGTCAGCTGCTGTCTCGTCGGCCACCCCCATAGCACCCTCCGGACCCCCCGCCCTTCCACCACCCCCTGCTGCTGATATCCAGCCCCCACCCATCCGAAGAGCCAAAACCAAAGAGGGCAAAGGTAGGGAACTCTCTTCCAACAACTGTCATCTCACCTTCCAAACTGCATGTCTTCACATTAGAGTCTGGAACTCTCGCCTTCCCAGCCCTGATTGCTGGAGGAGAGATGCTTTCCAGGAAGTGGGGCTTAGTGAAACCACAGCCCACAGAGGAATCCAGAGGCCCCTGTGACCTCCATAATTCCAGGATGTCATGACCTCTCCTTTTTCCTCTTCTCACCCCGACTCCTCATTCAGGTCCAGGCCATAAGAGGCGGAGTAAGAGCCCCCGAGTGCCTGATGGACGCAAGAAGCTTCGGGGAAAGAAAATGGCACCACTCAAAATAAAACTAGGGCTTCTGGGTGGCAAGAGGAAGAAAGGAGGCTCGGTGAGTGACCCGTCCCTGTCTACTAAACACCTGGGGGCCAAGGATCCAGAGACAGGGATCCGTGAGGGCCAAGGATCCAGAGACAGGGATCCGTGAGGGATGGCGGAACAGGAAGCCAAAGGCCTGGGGAGGGCGTAGAATGAAGTCTGCCTCACTGACGGCCACGGGGCTATGGGCAGTATGTTTTTCAGAGCGACGAAGGTCCTGAACCAGAGGCTGAGGAATCAGACCTGGACAGTGGCAGTGTCCACAGTGCCTCAGGCCGGCCTGATGGCCCTGTCCGCACCAAGAAACTAAAGAGAGGCCGGCCAGGAAGGAAGAAGAAGAAGGGTAAGGAGTGTTGACTGTGTGTGATCCTGTCAGTGGGCCGTCCTCTCATTCTTATTTTCAATTTTGACTTCTCTCTTCAACCCTTCTCCCTCTCTCTCTCCATCTCCCCCTGCCCTGCTTCCTTATCCCTCCACCGGGGTATATGACAGTCCTGGGCTGTCCTGCAGTGGCCGGGGAGGAGGAGGTTGATGGCTACGAGACGGATCACCAGGATTACTGTGAGGTGTGCCAGCAGGGTGGGGAAATTATTCTGTGTGACACCTGCCCTCGTGCCTACCACCTCGTCTGCCTTGATCCTGAGCTTGACCGGGCTCCAGAGGGCAAATGGAGCTGCCCTCACTGTGTGAGTACCTAATGCCAGCATCTGATGGCCCTGAGGAACCCACCCATCTCTTTCCCCCTTGGTTTCACTTACCCTCTTCCTGCCCCCAGATGGCTGGACTTCTTAGTAACAGATGTCCGAGTGTCTAGGATCCTAATGTATTCCTTTCTCCCACAATCAACATTTCTGAAACTGGAGTGTCCTTTTCCTTAGTTCCCACCAGTCTTCTCTGCACTTCTAGGATTCAGGTGTCCTGTCTTTGCCTGTATCTTCCAGTTTCATTCCTTAATTTCTTCCATCTGTCTGTGTGTCTATCCTTGGCCCCCTAGGAGAAGGAGGGGGTCCAGTGGGAGGCCAAGGAGGAAGAAGAAGAATACGAAGAGGAGGGAGAGGAAGAAGGGGAGAAGGAGGAGGAGGATGATCACATGGAGTACTGCCGCGTATGCAAGGACGGCGGGGAGCTCCTGTGCTGTGACGCGTGCATCTCCTCCTACCACATTCATTGTCTAAACCCTCCCCTGCCTGACATTCCCAATGGTGAATGGCTGTGTCCCCGATGCACAGTGAGTGGAAACATCTCCCCTCTGTATTTACTGTCAGGCCTGATCCCTTCCCCCATCCCTGGGGCCCACATGTCCAGCTTTTCATTTCTCTGCACTCCCCCACCCTTGTGGGACCCCTATCTTCTCATCTAACAATGGGTTCTTTCTGCCTCTTTCTTTCCTCCTCCTTGTACGTGTCCATCCCAAAGTGCCCCGTGCTGAAGGGTCGAGTGCAGAAGATCCTACATTGGCGGTGGGGGGAGCCACCTGTAGCAGTGCCAGCCCCTCAACAGGCAGATGGAAATCCAGATGTCCCACCCCCCCGTCCTCTTCAAGGCAGATCAGAGCGAGAGTTCTTTGTCAAGTGGGTAGGACTATCCTACTGGCACTGCTCCTGGGCCAAGGAGCTTCAGGTACTAGGACCTTTTCTTTCCCTCTCCCCCATGACCTCATTTCCTGCCATCCTCTCCCTCTCTTACTCCTCTGTTTGTTGGGTTCCCATACTCTTTGTTTTCTCTCATTTCAGGCCTGTGGCCTTCATACCCTACTTGCTTAGTTTCCATATGTGGTTCTTTTGGTCTACAGTCCTCTTTCTCTCAGTCTCCGTTAGCTTCCTTCCCTCAGATATAGCATAGCCTTTCCTAACTTCATGTCCTTCCTTATCTGTCTTTTTCCATGTTTTATAATATTCCTGGCTGGGCATGGTGGCTCACACCTATAATCCTAGCACTTTGGGAGGCCAAGGCAGGAGGATTGCTTGAGACCAGCCTGGGCAACATAGTGAAACCCCATCTCTGTTTAAAAAAAAATTCTCGGCTGGGTGTGGTGGCTCACGCCTGTAATCCCAGTACTTTGGGAGGCCGAGGTGGGCGGATCACCTGAGGTCAGGAGATCGAGACTATCCTGGCTAACATGGTGAAACCCCATCTCTACTAAAAATACAAAAAAATTAGCTGGGCGTGGTGGCAGGCACCTGTAGTCCCAGCTACTCAGGAGGCTGAGACAGGAGAATGGCGTGAACCCGGGAGGCGGAGCTTGCAGTGAGCCAAGATCGTGTCCCTGCACTTCAGCCTGGGCGACAGAGCGACACTCTATCTCAAAAAAAAAAAAAAAAAAAAAAAAATTCTCAATGTTTCTAATCCCATTCCCTATCTCTTGCTTGTAAGAGCCCCACCCAGGCCTTGTCTTCTGAAACTGTTGCATCTGTTTCATTTTATTTATTCTCCGTCTTGGCTTTGACTCATTTATCTCTAATCCATCCTTTTTCTTTTTTTTTCTATTTTTTTTTTTTTTTAGATGGAGTTTCGCTCTTGTTGCCTAGGCTGGAGTGCAGTGGCACGATCTTGGCTTACTGCAACCTCTGCCTCCTGGGTTCAAGCGATTCTCCTGCCTCAGCCACTCAAGTAGCTGGGATTACAGGCATGCGCCACCACGCTTGGCTAATTTTGTATTTTTAGTAGAGACGGGGTTTCTCCATGTTGATCAGGCTGGTCTCGAACTCCCAACCTCAGGTGATCCACCTGCCTCTGCCTCCCAAAGTGCTGGGACGCGCCTGTTATTCTCTTATTGCCCCGGCTGGAGTGCAGTGGTGTGATCTTGGCTCGCTGCAACCTCCGCCTCATGCATTCAAGCGATTCTCCTGCCTCAGCCTCCTGAGTATCTGGGATTACAGGCGTGCGCCACCACACCTGGCTAATTTCTGTATTTTTAGTAGAGACGGGGTTTCGCCATGTTGGCCAGGCTGGTCTTGAACTCCTGACCTCAGGTGATCCACCCGCCTGAGCCTCCTAAAGCACTGGGATTACAGGCATGAGCCACCGTGCCTGGGCCAATCCATCCTTTTTCATAGCTCCCTTTCCCTGTCCCATTCCTCCTGCCGGCCTCTTCCCGGTTCCTTGTTGTCCTCTGTGAGTGTCAGGACTATCTCTTTCCCTTTTTTCTGTGCCCTGCTAGCTGGAAATCTTCCATTTGGTTATGTATCGAAACTACCAGCGGAAGAATGACATGGATGAGCCCCCACCCCTGGACTATGGCTCCGGCGAGGATGATGGGAAGAGCGACAAGCGTAAAGTGAAAGACCCGCACTATGCTGAGATGGAGGAGAAGTACTATCGTTTTGGCATCAAGCCAGAGTGGATGACCGTCCACCGCATCATCAACCACAGGTGAATCCTCGGTCCCTGGGAAGTCAGACCTGGTATATGACATTATTCTTACCATGGTGATGGCCCCATGTTAGTATTTGCTGATTAACCAGGTAATTGATCTAACCTTGATAACCTCTGCTGTAGCTCCAGCCTTTCTGGCCTTGTTTCCTCCAGGGGAACGGGAGAAAACAGGAGGAAAATCCGGCCAGGCAGTGCCTCTTTTGTCCTTTGCCTCCTGTCATCTCCAGTGGCATAAGACATAGCACATGAGTCTGGGGATGAGGGCATGAAAGCAAAACATGAGAGACATAATTCATCCAGACCAGTGTTTTGAATGTTTCTTCTTCATAGTACTTATTACTGCCTAAACTTAATGGTATGTATTTAGTTATTTCAATGCTGCCTTCCCCACGAGACTCTGAGTTCCATGAGGAAAATACTTAGTGATTAGGTGAACAAATGATAAGGAGGGATCTCCAGGAATGTTTTGTGATAGCTGATTTTTAGGATACCATCCTGAGAAGGTTAGGCTGCTAGGTCAACTATTCCAATCTCCCTTCCAGCAGCTCACTGTTGACGGTTGGGTGACAAATTTTGTGTGTTTGCTGATAATTGCGTTTCTCAGGCCTTCTTTCTGTTTGTGATCTGTGCAATATTTTCCTCCTGCTCCTCCCCATGGCCTCCTGCCCCACAGTGTGGATAAAAAGGGGAATTACCACTATCTAGTAAAATGGAGGGACTTACCATATGACCAGTCCACGTGGGAGGAAGATGAAATGAATATCCCTGAATACGAAGAACATAAGCAAAGCTACTGGAGACACCGGTGAGGGAATGAGCTTGTGGATTCAAGGGATTCTGACGATGAGGGCATGAAAGCCAAAACTCCAGCATAAAATGAGGGTACAGTAGGGCCTGATTCAACCTGGAGTTCAGGGCAATGGCCACCTGAGCTGGGTTGTTTGAGATAGGCTTGCTAAAGAGGTAGTGTAAGGAACAGAAACAAGATCTGGCTGAGTAGTGGAGAAGAGGATGTTCAAGAGTGGGGAGGGCTGGCTCTTGAGGTGAAATCCAAAGGGCAAGGGTAAAGAGCCTGGGAAAAAGGAAATATGGGAAAATCTAGGTCATGGACAGTGGGAAGTAGGTCTGGAATGGGTTCAGAAAAGAAAGCGTAGGACTCCCAAGGATGAGGCCTCATTCAGACCCACTCTTTTTCCAGAGAACTAATTATGGGGGAAGACCCTGCCCAGCCCCGCAAGTATAAGAAGAAGAAGAAGGAGCTACAGGGTGATGGGCCTCCCAGTTCTCCCACTAATGATGTGAGTCCTCTCAGTTGTCATTTCTTGTTTCTGGAGTGATGGTGATCGAAGATTTTCCAAGGGCTACTGATGGAACTTCCCAGAGATTCAGTAACCTCTGTGAACAGTAGCTCTTCCTTCAGCATCCAGTCTTGCCCCAAGAGTGGCTAAGAATTTTGGCCTGAAAGGGCAGGAGCCACTAGAGATAGCCCACTGGTGGCTCTGTCACCAGCTGGCCCTTCCCCATGGTGCTGCTGGATATTGTCTTAAGGAATGAGGGGGAGGGGCTGAAGACTAGATGTGAGAACTTTTGTAAACTCAGGCCATAGTAGAGGGAATTGTAATCCAACTTGGTATCCATGCCAGGGAGGAAGAGACTAAGACTGGAGGAGCCGCCGACTATTTCCTTGAGCTTTCTGACTTCTTGTCTCTATAGCCTACCGTGAAATATGAGACTCAGCCACGGTTTATCACAGCCACTGGAGGCACCCTGCACATGTATCAGTTGGAAGGGCTGAACTGGCTACGCTTCTCCTGGGCCCAGGGCACTGACACCATTCTAGCTGATGAGATGGGGCTAGGCAAGACCATACAAACCATCGTCTTCCTCTACTCACTCTACAAGGAGGTGCTGGATTCTAGGACCTTGAAGGGGACCGCCTGGACTGGGGAAGTGGGGAGGGGGAAGATAAAGGGGTGTAGCTGGCAGAGGACTAGGGTATACGGCCTCTAGCCTAGACTTATGCTGCCCCCATTCTTGACTCCCAGGGCCACACAAAAGGTCCCTTCCTGGTGAGTGCCCCACTCTCTACCATCATTAACTGGGAGCGGGAGTTCCAGATGTGGGCACCCAAATTCTATGTGGTGACATACACGGGTGACAAGGACAGCCGGGCCATCATTCGTGAGAATGAATTCTCCTTTGAGGACAATGCCATCAAAGGGGGCAAGAAAGCTTTTAAGATGAAGGTAAGACCCTCTACCTCATATCCTCTGAGACCCTCAAAGCTGTCACTTCTTTTTCTCAGCCAGGAATTCAGTTTCTCTATTCCCCTCCTCACCTTTCTCCTCTTCCTCCACCTGTCCTCCTGTCTCTGCACTACCATCCTAGAGATATGGCAGGTACTCCCAGGGGCATACATGGATCTGTCGGTACTGGAAATGTGGGCAGAGGTTTAGGAGCCATGGTCTGTAATCCCTGCTTGGAGAACAGAGTAATGGCTCCTGTTGGGAGCCACAGTCAGGACAAGGTGTCTGGTTCTGGAGGTGTAGGTGCATGGTTGTCAGGTGGCAGCTGAATGGGCAATAATTATGTTGGCAGAGGGAGGCACAGGTGAAGTTCCATGTTCTCCTGACATCGTATGAGCTGATCACCATTGATCAGGCAGCACTTGGTTCCATCCGCTGGGCCTGTCTTGTGGTAGATGAGGCCCATCGACTCAAGAACAACCAGTCCAAGGTGAGTGAGGTTTCCAGACCTAAAAAACTTGAAGTTGTGGACTTCCCACTTGCCTTGGTCCTAAAAAACAACAAAAATTCTGGGGATTTTCTGTAGTCTGGGAGGACGTCCAGGTTGGAAGAGGGAGAGGGCCAGAGATTTGGGGCCTCTGATCCTGAGTGAAATGGGAGCTGGGGCAGGGAAAGGCTGATGCTGTGGGTCGGTCACTTGTCACTAATAAGCCCATTTTCCTGCCTTGCCTTGCCCCATCTTTTAGTTTTTCAGGGTTCTCAATGGTTACAAGATAGATCATAAGTTGCTGCTGACAGGAACCCCATTGCAGAATAATCTGGAGGAGCTCTTCCATCTCCTGAACTTCCTCACCCCAGAGAGATTTAAGTAAGTGGTTCCCTAAGGGTAGTTGGCAGAGATGAGAGGTGGAGCAGATAAAATGAGCTGGTAGAGGATTAATCTGAGGTGGTAAGTCTGAGATCAGGGGCAAGGAACTTGCCGACCTGTTAATTTTCTTCTCTTCTGGCTCTTAGCAACTTGGAGGGCTTCCTGGAGGAGTTTGCTGACATATCCAAAGAGGACCAGATCAAGAAACTGCATGATTTGCTGGGGCCACACATGCTGCGGAGACTCAAGGCAGATGTCTTTAAGAACATGCCAGCCAAGACAGAGCTCATCGTTCGGGTGGAGCTAAGCCCCATGCAGAAGTAAGATGCAAGACGAGCTGCCTGGAGTAGGGCTTGGGGATTGATGGGAGCGTTCCAAGTGCAATATCATAATTGCTTCCTTTATTTATGTTTCTTTTACACCCCTTTCCTGGCCTTTAGGAAATACTACAAATACATCCTGACTCGAAATTTTGAGGCCTTGAATTCACGAGGTGGTGGGAACCAGGTGTCGCTGCTTAATATCATGATGGATCTTAAGAAGTGCTGCAACCATCCATACCTTTTTCCCGTGGCTGCTATGGTAGATACACAGAGCAGGGAGCTGATCGAACGCCCATTCTCAGAAAACATGGGTGGGGAGTAGTGGGGAGGTGGGTATTGAGCCACAGGGGTGGAGCTGGGCTGGAAGGCCACGGACTGGGTGTCTGAGAACAGGAGGAATTGGGAACATGTGGAAGCTGGATCCGGGCATCTGGCCTTCTAGGTGTGGCAAGAATATGGGGGCATGTTTCCAACTGACCCCCTCCTCCTCCTCTCTCCTCCCTTTTCAGGAGTCCCCCAAACTCCCCAGTGGGGCTTATGAGGGTGGGGCACTTATTAAGTCGTCTGGGAAGCTCATGCTGCTCCAGAAGATGCTGCGAAAGCTGAAGGAGCAAGGACACCGAGTGCTCATCTTCTCGCAGGTGACCTGTGCCCTTAGCTGTCTTTACATCTGCTTCCTCTTCCCTCTCCTCATCCTCCAGACTTTAATTTCTTACGGTCTTCCTGTGGCTGCTCTGGTGTGACAAATGAGGAGATTCCTCCTGTAAGAGTTTTTTTTTTTTTTTTTTTTTTTGAGACAGAGTTTCGCTCTTATTGCCCAGGCTGGAGTGCAGTGGCACGATCTCGGCTCACTGCAACCTCTGCTTCCTGGGTTCAAGTGATTCTCCTGCCTCAGCCTCCCAAGTAGCTGGGATTACAGGCGTGCACCACCATGCCTAGCTAATTTTTGTATTTTTAGTAGAGACGGGATTTCACCATGTTGGTCAGGATGGTCTCCATCACCTGACCTCAGGTGATCTGCCCGCCTCGGTCTCCCAAAGTGCTGGGATTACTGTATAGCAAGTTCATTCTTGGCCTCTGATGCCTGTTCTTAAGGTTGCTGGAAGTTGAGGTCCAGCTCTAGTTCCTTTTCAGCTGCATGAGGGAAGGGGGAGGGTGAGCCATCTGCCTCCTTAGGGACTGGTATTATTTCTTCATCTTATTGGCAGGTGAGGGTGAAGGGCACAGACCCTTTGGAAATGTGATGAAAGCTCTGGGTCTACTCACCAGAAAACTGCACATACAATGACACAATTTTGTACGGATTTTCAGGGGGTTCCTGGATTTCCCTGAAACCTTTTCATGGGTCTCAGAGAACCTCTGCCTTAGGAGAAACAATCTTAAATCAAGAGAGTGTGACAAGAGGGCCAGACGTGGTGGCTCACACCTGTAATCCCAGCACTTTGGGAGGCCGAGGCAGGAAGATCACTTGAGGTCAGGAGTTTCAAGACCAGCCTGGCCAACATGGTGAAACCCTGTCTCTACTTAAAATACAAAAATTAGCTGGGCGTGGTGGCGCACACCTGTAGTCCCAGCTACTAGGGAGGCTGAGGCGGTAGGATCACTTGAACCCAGGAGTGGAGGTTGCAGTGAGCAGAGATGGCACCACTGCACTCCAGCTAGGGCAACAGAATGAGACTCCATCTCAAAAAAAAATAAAAATAAATAAAAATAAGAAAAGAGAGTGTGACAAGAAGGTGGAATAATGAGGAGCTTAAGACAGGGCAGGGGTTCAGGTGTAAAGATTAGGGTTGAGTTTGTGTAAAGGAGTAGTTAGAATAAGCAAGCATCCCACCACCTCATTATTGCAGACTCCATCCTTTTCTCTTGCTCTAGATGACCAAAATGTTAGACTTGCTTGAGGACTTCTTAGACTATGAAGGCTACAAGTATGAGCGCATCGATGGTGGTATCACGGGTGCCCTGAGGCAGGAGGCCATCGATCGGTTTAATGGTGAGGGAGATACACTGGTCCCTGGTGGGTGTGGGAGGCCTGAGAAACCTGTGATAGGTCCCTGGGATGGGAGGGGGACTGGCTTGGGGGACATTGGAAACTTAGGCTTTGAGTTGGGGGCATGGTTGTTTGTCATCAGAGAACATCTAGGAGCAGGTGGACAGAACTACCGGGTACAAGAAAAACCTGATCCAACTCTCACCTCCTAGCTCCTGGGGCCCAACAATTCTGCTTCCTCCTGTCCACCCGAGCTGGGGGCCTGGGCATCAATCTGGCCACTGCTGACACTGTCATCATCTTTGATTCTGACTGGAACCCCCATAATGACATCCAGGTGGGAACTCGCATCCTAGAACCCCTGCACCATTTAGCAAGGAGATGTGGGTTCATGGAGGAGGGTGTCATGTTCCGGGGTCAGAAATAAATCTCTTCTGGGAGGAGAGAAGGCCCTTCTTCAGCAGCCTTCTTTCCTGAGGCAGCTCTATGGGCAGCTTCTCCCCGGCCACTCCCCTGACCCACCCGCCACTTTCTCTTGCCCCTGCAGGCCTTTAGCCGGGCTCATCGGATTGGCCAGGCCAACAAAGTGATGATTTACCGGTTTGTGACTCGCGCGTCAGTGGAAGAGCGAATCACACAAGTGGCCAAGAGAAAGATGATGCTGACACACCTGGTTGTGCGGCCTGGGCTGGGCTCCAAGGCAGGCTCCATGTCCAAGCAGGAGCTTGACGACATTCTCAAATTTGGCACTGAAGAGCTATTCAAGGATGAAAACGAGGGTGAGAACCTTTTCTGCAGCTCTGTGAAAGCAGGCCCCTGCTCTCTCAGGAGTACTTATCAGCCCCCTGGGGAGAGAAAAACAACTCTTCTCTGCAGCCTTTGAAGGAAGGAGAGCCTTCTTTTAGTAGCCCTTGGAGGAAGGTTGGCCTCTTTCTTTGCCTGTAGGGTTAAAACAAACAAAACAAAAACCTTTCAACATTGGCTCCCGGGGAAAAAGCCTTCTCTAGGGCTCCTGTGAAAAGGACGCAGAGTAGAAGCTTTCCCATCAGCCTTTCTAAACTTTGGAACCCAAAGTTCCCGTTTGTTTTCCCTCTCACCAGGGGAGAACAAGGAGGAGGACAGCAGTGTGATTCATTATGACAATGAGGCCATCGCTCGGCTGTTGGACCGGAACCAGGATGCAACTGAGGACACTGACGTGCAGAACATGAATGAGTATCTCAGCTCCTTCAAGGTGGCACAGTACGTCGTGCGGGAAGAAGACAAGGTGAGAGGCTTTGGGGGCCAGACATTATCTATCCCAGGCCATCTCCAAAAGGCAGTATCCTTTACTCAGCCTTGAAGTAGGAGGGTCTGTCCCCCTTAAAACAGTAGTGGACCTCAAACAACTTCTTCGTCTAATAGGTGAGACTGGACTTCAGAGAGAAACGTAGGCACAGACAGTACTGGTAAACACAGAAGGGTACCTTCTGAGACAGTGCAGGAGAAACACTGTCAGAGGGATTAGAGGAGAGATTTAGAAAACATGAGGAGAGCACATTGCAGGTAAGAGATGGCATGGAACATGCGCAATGTCCAGAAAATGTATGCAGAGCCACGAAGCTGCAGGAGTGGGGAGACCGGATTGGGCTGACGCAGCAGAGTAGGGATTTCCTTGCAGTGGAAGGATTAGCAAAGAAGGAGACCCCCAGTGTTCATTCATTCTGTTGCCCTTCAGATTGAGGAAATTGAGCGAGAGATCATCAAGCAGGAGGAGAATGTGGACCCTGACTACTGGGAGAAGCTGCTGAGGCATCACTATGAGCAACAGCAGGAAGACCTAGCCCGGAATCTAGGCAAGGGCAAGCGGGTTCGCAAGCAAGTTAACTACAATGATGCTGCTCAGGAAGACCAAGGTGAGGACTGCCCCAGATGCAGGCAGTAAAGGGGGGAAGTGATGATGAGTAGGGACTTGAAGGCTGGAGCTATTTAGAGGGAAAGAGAGAAGCCTAGAAGTCAGAGCCTTCCTCTGCTAAAAGGGAAAGACATAAGGTAGAGTCATTAGGAACTACCCAGAGGCCAGGTGGGTTTGCAGGAGATTTAAACTCTTCGGTGGTTGCACAGGCATCCTGTGGACACCCAGGGCCATTGCTTAGAGTAGGTTTTGCAGGAGAAGCAGAGGGGCCCAGAGACTGAAGGTGGGCGGTGAATGGAGATGGTGTAGGATATGCGGCTCCCAAGTCAGACTTTGGGCAGTGATCTGGTGTTCCCAGAAGGACCAAGGCCAGAATAAAGGTAGACAAGTCTCGGCAGGGAGGAATCCAGCCAGAAAGGGCCTCAGCATGGGCATATCCCGAGAGCCCTCCCTGACCACTGGGCCCTTTCCACCCCCACAGACAACCAGTCAGAGTACTCGGTGGGTTCAGAGGAGGAGGATGAAGACTTCGATGAACGTCCTGAAGGTGGCATCTGTGTTCCTGACTCTACCTCACCTCTTCCCGTTTTATTTTCCAGTTTGCTTTAAGCCCACTGTTTTTATACAAGTAAAAAAGTCTTCGTGTGTGTGTGGAAAAACTCGATTGCAGATGAGCAGAAAGGAAGAAATATTCATAGTCTCTCTGCTAGTAAACTTCGGTGTGTGTGACCACATAGGCTAGATCCAGAAAGGCCATATCATTTTCCATTCCCACTGGTAATCTGGGCCTTTGTCAGATATCAGCTGTTAATTTTAAAATATGACTGGTTCTTTTAGACTTAGTGGGTTAGTAGTTCTGAAGTGCTTGGGAGAGAATTGGGAGCACCTCAAACGTGACAGGAATGTTCCTGTGTTGTGTATCTTGTGGGAATGGGGTGCTAAGGAGGACTGAGGCTTAGAGGAGGTGGTGGCTCAGCTAACTGATGTCATCCCCACCCTCAGGGCGTAGACAGTCAAAGAGGCAGCTCCGGAATGAGAAAGATAAGCCACTGCCTCCACTGCTGGCCCGAGTCGGGGGCAACATTGAGGTGAGAGCTGGGCCCAGTGTTCCTGAGTTCTCCAAGAGGGCATGAGGGCAGGAGGTTGGAAGTTGGTGCCTGGATCACTGAAGGTAGAAAGGACAAGACCTAAGAACCCTAGACATTTGTCGCCATTGCCTCCTTGCTCCCACCCTCAGGTGCTGGGCTTCAACACCCGTCAGCGGAAGGCTTTCCTCAATGCTGTGATGCGCTGGGGGATGCCACCACAGGATGCCTTCACCACACAGTGGCTGGTGCGGGACCTGAGGGGCAAGACTGAGAAGGAGTTTAAGTGAGTGTGGGTGATACAGGGCTGAGTTGGACGCAAGGGGAAGAGCTTTGGGTGTTCCTTTCTTCCTTGGGGCCGCCATATGATGTGACCTTACTCAACTGATTATCACCCTCCCTGTCATACAATACTTCCTGGCTCGATTTCCTGGGGGGTGGTCTCAGCCCACTCCACCTCCCCTCAGCCGAGCCTAGAGTAGAGGGGCCAGGCATCCTCCCCAGGGGAGGGGCGTTGAAGCAAGGAGCCTCTCCTGGGCTGTCCTAGCCTCACATTTACTTGACCACAATAACCTGGCAGGAGGAGCTGGTGGAAAGGATGAAGAGCTGACTGATGGGGCCCAGGAATTAAGTACCAAGGCCAAAGGGAAAGACCCAGGGGTGGGGCGCAGGGGGACAGTTAGGACTTGGAGGGCTGGTAATGGTGAGAGTGAGAGGCCCAGGGGAGGAGCCCTGGAGCACCTGGGGATTTGGGGGTTTGGGGGTCCTCAGTCATCCTCGCGCCTCCCTCACTGCCCTATACCCCTTCTGTGGCTCCCCTAACCCTCCTCCCACTCCCATGCTCCTTAGGGCCTATGTGTCTTTGTTCATGCGCCATCTGTGTGAGCCTGGGGCAGACGGCTCTGAAACCTTTGCCGATGGGGTCCCTCGGGAGGGACTGAGTCGCCAGCAGGTGTTGACCCGCATTGGAGTCATGTCTCTCGTCAAAAAGAAGGTATCAGTCTTCCTGTCACCCAAAGAATCAAGCTGGCTGCCTAGTCTCTGTCCTTCCTCTGCCTCTGTCCCTGAGTTGTAAGCTTGCGCTGGTGTGAGACGGAGGAGACTGGAGCTTCCTGTCTGTAAGCGCCTGGAGCTGACACCTAACCCTCCCACCCTGCCACCCCAGGTGCAGGAGTTTGAGCACATCAATGGGCGTTGGTCAATGCCGGAACTGATGCCTGACCCCAGCGCCGATTCTAAGCGCTCCTCCAGAGCCTCCTCTCCTACCAAAACGTCTCCCACCACTCCTGAGGCTTCTGCTACCAACAGTCCCTGCACCTCTAAACCTGGTAATCAGAAGTCAGGATGGTGGGAGAGACAGAAAGGGAGCCAGGAGTCAGGGCGGGAGAATCTCTGTCTTTATCACTGTGCCTTCCCCTGCAGCTACTCCAGCTCCAAGTGAGAAAGGAGAAGGCATAAGGACACCTCTTGAGAAGGAGGAAGCTGAAAACCAGGAGGAAAAGCCAGAGAAGAACAGCAGAATTGGGGAGAAGATGGAGACAGAGGTGTGTGGCTCCCTGGATTCCCCTGTGGAGCGGGAGGGGAGGGGGCTTGGAGGCCAGGTACCTGGGAGCCCTCTGGCTCATCCTGACCCCATTGTCCTCTTCCAGGCTGATGCCCCCAGCCCAGCCCCATCACTTGGGGAGCGGCTGGAGCCAAGGAAGATTCCTCTAGAGGATGAGGTGCCAGGGGTGCCTGGAGAGATGGAGCCTGAACCTGGGTACCGTGGGGACAGAGAGAAGTCAGGTGGGTGCATGGCCTTAGGAGTGATGGGGGATTAGAATTTGGGATTTCCCTCTTCTGGGGTCAGGGGATGAGGGTAACATCCTCCCTTCCTATCCCCTACCCCCTCCCACAGCCACAGAGTCGACGCCAGGAGAAAGGGGGGAGGAGAAGCCGTTGGATGGACAGGAACACAGGGAGAGGCCGGAGGGGGAAACAGGGGATTTGGGCAAGAGAGGTAATGGGTGGAAGGGACCGGACACCTGGGTCCCAGAGGGCATCAGGGGAGGTGGAGTCTGGGGAACCGAATGCTTGGGTCCTGGGCGGGTAGCTGTTTGAAAGGCCAGTACAGTACAGTACAGATAGTAGTCTTGGGACCTGGGAGGAGGGTGTCCTGAGGTGTGAGCTTTGACCTGTCTGTCCTAGCAGAAGATGTAAAAGGTGACCGGGAGCTTCGACCAGGGCCTCGAGATGAGCCACGGTCCAATGGGCGACGAGAGGAAAAGACAGAGAAGCCCCGGTTCATGTTCAATATCGCCGATGGTGGCTTCACAGGTTGGGGAGACTCTCGCTGCTTTCTGCTCCTCAAGGGGATCTGCTCATCCTCATGGGGTTTCTCGTTTTGCCTGAGGCTTCCTGCTACCTTTAATTCCAAGTAACTTCCAATGAAGTATGTTGCATGCTGACTCCGATCCTTGCTCTAAATCTTTCTTAAGTATCCCTCTTAACTCCAAAGCTGGCCCTAATCCCACCTTTATTCTTAATTCTAACGAACCTGGTTAGAACTGAGTTTGTTCCAAACCTAACCTTTACCCATTCCTCTTCAGGAGCCCTTAGTTCCCTTTCATTATTCAGTTTCTCCATCTCTACCTGTCTGTTGGACTGAGTGCAGTCTGCAAAACCCTGTTACCTCTTCTGTCTGCTGCCTTCTTTGCAGAGCTTCACACACTGTGGCAGAATGAGGAACGGGCAGCTATTTCCTCGGGGAAACTCAATGAGATCTGGCACAGAAGACATGACTATTGGCTTCTGGCTGGGATTGTCCTGTATCCTTTGATACACATGCAAGAAGGAAAAGGTTCTCTCAAGCTGGCAAAAAAAAAAAAGATGATTTCACACCCAGGGACAGGGCTAGTGCCACACTTTGGGGAGTCAAGCCAAAAGGAAGAAGTGTTCAAAGCCAAGCCCATTCCTGTTAAATTCCTTGATGGTTCCTTTTCCTTCATTGGTAGCCATGGCTATGCACGGTGGCAGGACATCCAGAATGATGCTCAATTTGCCATTATCAACGAGCCATTTAAAACTGAAGCCAATAAGGGGAACTTTCTGGAGATGAAAAATAAGTTCCTGGCCCGGAGGTTCAAGGTGGGAATGAGGGAGGAAAGGAGCGGGTTATAGACGGGCTTGGGTCAGAAGTGAGACCAGATCTAGTTGGAACCTAGGGAAGGTTAACACCTTCAGGGCTGAGGTGATACCTGGGGCCAAGACCAAAGTGTAACCTTGTGCTTGGGAGTGTGATCTGGGTCAGGGTTGCTGCTAGGTTCGCAGTCGGTTTGGAGCTGGGAGTGCCCTGGGCCAGCAGTGAGGGCAGGGTGGGTCTCTTGCTATGTCCGCCCCCCCAGCCCCTCACCCACTGCTGGCAGAGCCCTACCTTCACCTCCCAACTCTGTGCCCTCAGCTCCTGGAGCAGGCGCTGGTGATTGAGGAGCAGCTGCGGCGGGCGGCCTACCTGAACCTGTCGCAGGAGCCGGCGCACCCCGCCATGGCCCTCCACGCCCGCTTCGCCGAGGCCGAGTGCCTGGCCGAGAGCCACCAGCACCTCTCCAAGGAGTCGCTGGCGGGGAACAAGCCGGCCAACGCCGTCCTGCACAAGGGTAAGGGCCGCGGCGGCCCCGCGCGGGGGAGGGCCCACAACGCTGCGTAAGTCTTCACCCCGCACCCCTCAAAATCTTCCCACCCCCTGACCCCTCTACCTGCTGAACCATCCCCCTCTGACCTCTAACCCCACTCCTACCGACCTGGCACCCCCTTGGATTTTAGCCTCTAGGACTTGTGCAAGCCAACCCTCATCCATGTCTGATAGCATTCACATCCGTGCCCAATAGAGGGACCTGCCCCAGCCTCTGTGTCCCCTCCACACAGTGGGGCCTCTTCACTGGCAGTGGAACTGCATGCCTGCCATACTGCTTAACATCATCCAGTTAGGGGCCTTGGACTGTGAATGCACCATACAGATCCCTGGCTGTGATCAAACAAATCACATTCCCTCACATGTGTTTCACCCCATAAGGCAGAAACTACCACCCATCCAACCCTCTGGCCTTACCCCATGAAACTTCCCTTTGACCTTCGACCTTTCCTCCTACCCCCTCTCACCTTGCCATTGATAGAGATTATATCCCAAAGCCCTCTAACCATCTAATCCTGCCTGGTGTAGTCACTGACTCCTGGCCCCTTTGATCCCTGTTCTAATTCCTTGAATCTGTAATACTGACCTTCTAACCTCCCTCTCCCCTTACATATTAAAACCGTGATTCCTTAAAGCTTTGACACTTACCACCTCCCATGCCTCCTGACTATTTCCTCCCCATCATCCCCAACCCCAAACCTTGCTCTTCCAGTATGAGATGTTCTGACAACTCCCCGCCCCCATGTCTTCCAATGTCCCCCCATCTTCCTTTCCTCCATGCTCCCTTTTTCTTTCTTCTTTCTCTCCATCTGTCTTCTGTGGTAATCTGGTCTCTCTGTCTCTTTTCCTGACACTTTTTCTTTTCCCCTGAGTTGCTTCTGTTTTCCATCTACTTCTTTTACTTTCTTGATCTCTGGTTCTTTGACATCTGTGTTCTCCTCTCTCGCTCTTTTTCTGCCTGTATCTGTCCATCTGATGCCTCTCTTTTCCTGGCTCCATCTCTGTATTTCCCTGTCTTTCTCTTGCCCTTCTTTCTCTGTGGCCCGGGCCCCAGTTCTGAACCAGCTGGAGGAGTTGCTGAGCGACATGAAGGCGGACGTGACCCGCCTGCCAGCCACGCTGTCCCGAATACCCCCCATCGCAGCCCGCCTTCAGATGTCCGAGCGCAGCATCCTCAGCCGGCTGGCCAGCAAGGGCACGGAGCCTCACCCCACACCGGTAACCCTCTTTCCCCCTAGCTCCAGTTTTCCCTGTTTGTGTTCCTCCTGCACACATACAAACACTTCCATCAGAATCCTATACAATATGGAAAAACAACTTGCTAGAACACAGTCATCACCCTTGAGTGAGTCTCCCTGCCTGTGTATCCTACCCTTAGCAGTTGTGGAGTGTGGCTCATAATGTCTCTCCTACAGCTTCTTTCCTCTCACAGACTATGAACTAACTCCAACTTCTGCTTCCTCTCTGTTCCAGGCCTACCCGCCGGGTCCCTACGCTACACCTCCGGGGTACGGGGCGGCCTTCAGCGCCGCACCCGTAGGGGCCCTGGCCGCCGCAGGCGCCAATTACAGCCAGATGCCTGCAGGGTCCTTCATCACAGGTCAGCTGGTGTTTTCCTACCCCCTGCTACTCACACTCCTCCTTTGCCAAACTTTATTTCTGCTCAGCTGCCCTTTAACTGCTCTAGTCCATCTCATTTCCTTGGTGGTATCCGGTGTTTTATGGGATAGAGTTGTTCTAGGCTGTCCCCCCACCCATCCCTTTCTTAACCCCTCTTCAGTCCCCTTTATTAAAAACCAGAGTTTTAGTAGATCTGTGGCTTGGTGTCTTCTACCCGAGCCACCTCCCTCCGGGTTCCTTCAAGGGAAAGTGAATATGAAACCCGAGGGGTTAGAGAGTGGGAACATGTGTTCAATCATGTAGCACAAAGTGGAATCTCAGGGAAAGGGGTTTGCCCGGGTCTTCCCTCCCTCACGTGGGACAACGGGAAGTGGCAGGAGGTGACCTAGAAGTGAGAATTCACCATTGTCATGAAGTGACGTTTGAGAGTGATCTGGAGATTGATCTTTCCTTACCCCTTTCCCAAACAGCCGCCACCAACGGCCCTCCAGTGCTTGTGAAGAAGGAGAAGGAAATGGTGGGGGCATTGGTGTCAGACGGGCTGGATCGGAAGGAGCCCCGAGCCGGGGAGGTGATCTGTATAGACGACTGACTGGATCCCAGGCCTGCCCTTCACCCAGGCCCCGTCCCCGAGGCCGACCCCCAGCTCAAGCGCTGGGGCCTGCTGCCAGCCCTCCACCTTCCCCACCCCTTGGGCCATCACTGGGCTAGGAACCCCTTTGCCCCTCTCTGCAGCTCCTCTCTTCAAGAAGGGCCCTTTGTCTTTCTCCACTCCCACACACCTTTCCCACCAAGCCTTGAAGACTGTGCTGGTGAGAAGAAGTCTGGGTGGGAGATGGCTGGCAGGGTCTTCCAAGTACCTTCCTCCCACACTGCCAAGTATACACAACTTCCCAGTAAATGGTTGTGGGGAGGAAAGAGGTGGAGCCTCCCCAGCCGTTTCCCTGCAGAATCAGCTCTGTCTCATGTGGAAGTGGAGAATCAGCCTTGCCTGGCCTTTAGGAACTTTTGTGGGGAAGAGAGCTTTGAAGAGAGGAGGGGGACTTTAGAGAGGGATGAAAATGAGCCCTGGGAGGGAGGAAGGGACGAGGAGGGGTGGCTGCATGTTACCGTCCCCTACCTCTCCCCACGTGGAGGGTGGAGCAGTTATGAGGGAGGAAGTCAACTGCTGTTCAGCCTCAGAATAAAGGTGCCGTTCACTGGCTCAGTTACCTCCTGTGTACCGGCATCTTGTGTTGGGAATGTTCCCCCCTCCCTAGGGACCAAGGACCACCCCTACAAAAAGAGTAATGGTTGGGTGATACTCCCTCAAGCCAAAGAGGAGCTCCCCAACCTGTTCTAGGGACCCAGGTAACCTAGAAGGGTGGGAGAGAATACAATGGGCCAGATGTGGTGGAAGCCCAGCTCTGGGGCTCAGGTTCCTGGAAGACTTCTACTACCCTCCCTCCTCAAGGCCTGGATACAGACTAAATTTGTATAAGTCAGGCAGGGGACCTAGTCAGGGTCTTGGGAGCTACCTTGTCGTTGGGACCAGAGCAAAATAGTGGAGGGCAGGCTAGGGAAATGTGGGCACATCCCCCCTCCCAGGAGGGGCCGGGGAGAGTGGCAGTTTGCATGGCGAACCCCCCACTTCCTCTTTGCTGCCCCTTCACTTTCTTGCTGCCCCTTTCCCAGTCTCTCTTCACACCCACTCCTGGTCTGTCCTGATCCCCTCTTCTGTATCAGGTTTATTGGTTGTACATATAAATTATACTTTCCTTTCTGTGTGCTCTGTTATTTTTTATGGGGGGGGGGAGTTTTTGGGGGGAGGGATAAGAAAGGTTGTTGCTTTCTGCCTTTTCTTTTTAAAAAAATCCTACAACTTTTTCCTTTTCCTCATTTTTATCTCTTAGATTATTCACTAAAACTGAGGTTCTTCCAGCCCCAGCTATGTCATGGCCTCTGTAGAGAAGGAGGGTGAGCAGCAGATACCTACGTAGCCTCAGGTTGACTTCAGAGAGAGTGGGACTTACTGGACAGAAATGTAGTGGGAGGAGCGCCTATCAAGATTCAAAACTGCCTTCCAGCCATCCTTTTGATCATCCTTTCCACCTTCAAGTTGCTTAGTTCCCCTAAGAGTCAGTAGAGGTCACTACAGCTCCACAGGTTCAGCTCCAGTATGAAGCAAAGGCACACTTTTTTTTTTTTTTTTTTTAAGGCGTTGAGGGTCAGATCTGTCTAGCTTACCAAAGATTTGAACTGCTAGGCACTTCCTTGATGTTTATTGTTCACTAAACAGAGCCTCTGAGAGATTGAGAGAGGCCAGACACTTAGTTCACAAGGCTATTATATTAAAAAATAAGAGATAAAGCCAACAAATATTTATTGAGTACATACTATACAGTAACACTGCTGTTGGCCCTGGAGATAAAACAGTCACAGGTCAGCCCTTGCTCCCATAGGGCTTACACTCCAGTGGGGACACCCACAAAGCATGAAAATAAAAGCAGTAAAAATAAAACAGGGCATTATGTTACAGAGGGGTGGGGGAAAAGGCTCTACTATGTTGAAGGCAGAAAAAGGCCTCCCAAAAGAGGGAGCATTTAAGCTGAGATGTAAGGACAGGAAAATGCCAAAATAGGGTTACAAAAATTGAGGTTTATACCCCCATAAGTGTATAATTATGATTTGTCAATCAAAAATATTTATATTTTAAAAAGATTGGAGGCCTCTAAAAAATTGAGGTTAATAATAAGTTCACATTTTTAACTAAGAGAAAAATGTTACATAGTAGGTTAGGATTTCTTTAGCAATAGAATGTTACTTTAGAACTTTGGGGCCGGGCGTGGTGGCTCACGCCTGTAATCCTAGCACTTTGGGAGGCCGAGGCAGGCGGATCATGAGGTCAGGAGATCGAGACCATCCTGGCTAACACGGTGAAACCCCATCTCTACTAAAAATACAAAAAAATTAGCCAGGCGTGGTGGTGGGTGCCTGTAGCCCCAGCTACTTGGGAGGCTGAGGCAGGAGAATGGCGTGAACCCAGGAGGCAGAGCTTGCAGTGAGCCGAGATCACGCCACTGCACTCCAGTCTGGGCAACAGAGCAAGACTCCATCTCAAAAAAAAAAAAAAAGAACTTTGGATAAAATAATCTATCAGTCATACCTATTATGCTTTAAATATTCTACCTACAGATGGTGATATCCTAAAGAGTGTAGGATCTAGACCAATGGTACTTAAATTTTCACATGCACACACATCACCTGGGATTGTTAAAATGCCAGAGTCTGGCCCGGCGCGGTGGCTCACTCCTATAATCCCAGCACTTTGGGAGGCCAAGGTGGGCGCCATCACCTGAGGTCAGGAGTTTTGAGACCAGCCTGACAAACATGGCGAAACCCCATCTCTACTAAAAATACAAAAATTAGCCAGGTGTGGTGGCAGGCGCCTGTAATCCCAGCTACTCCGGAGGATGAGGCAGGAGAATCGCTTGAACCTGGGAGGCGGAGGCTGCAGTGAGCCGAGATCACGCCACTGCACTCCAGCCTGGGCGACACAGTGAGACTCTGGCTCAAAACAAAAACAAAAAAACAAAAAACCCTGCCAGAGTCTGATTCAGGAAGTCTGGAGTGGGATCCTAGAGTGAGACTGTGCACTTCCGTTGACAGTACACCAACACTGCTGGTCCTTGACTATGACTTTATGGTCATAAGATACAGGATTCTAAAATAGAATACATGGCATATATACAACAGGTGATGTCCCATTATGGGACACAAATTTTAAAGACACTTAAAATTGTATAAGTATCTTTTCAGTAGCGCTAGTGTGTTCCCGTGACTGTAAAGATAACACAGATAATAGCAAAAGTTTGAAATATGATGCCTTTCAAATGGCTCTCCCTTCCTACTTTGATAGGCTCTAATTAGGTGCCTCACATAAATGCCCTTTGGAATTTCTGATACCTGCCCTAGCAGGTTGAAGGGAGATTCTGAAATGAAGCAAGGCTCCTAATCATAGTCACAGGCAGGGAGCCATCTCAATTTCTGGAACACAGAACTGGGAGTGGGGAGACAGCAGGCATACCAGCACCCTTACATGCCAGAGAAGTGAGATTAACATGACGCGAAAATTAGCCTCTTCTCTCCCGTTCCATCTTAAAAAAAAAAAAAATTCAAACCATTGACAAAGAATTGCTAAAATGGGACCTGTTGCTCCCACACACCAGAGCCACCCTGGACAAAAGCCAACGTCCCAGCTAAGAAAACAGTCTGTCTTCTTCCCACGGTAACGTAGGCTTTGTTTATATCATCCCTTGGCCACTCCATCCTGAAAATGTAAGACTGGCACAGTCAGTAGATGGGGGCGAGTTCGTCTAGG